>NC_000005.10:23035093-23338123 GCF_000001405.40 Homo sapiens
TTTTCTGAACTTCTATGCTCTCCTTCCCTTTTAAACATAAGTTTTAATTTCAAACCATAACTTTGTGAATACATAATACTGAATGCTTTTAACGACACCAAAGTCACCTCTTGAACACTTCGCTGCTTACAAATTTCTTCTGCCGATGCCCTAAATTATCTCTTGGAAGTTCAAAATCTCTAGAGCAGGGGCAAAATGCCACCAGTCTTTTGGATAAATCATACCAACAGTCACCTTTATTCCAATTCCCAAGCTTTTCATCTCTATCTTAGATGAGCAGCATTTGGTCGAAGCCATTCAATAAATCTCAAGGAAGTTCCAAACTTTTCCACATCTTCCTGTCTTCTGAGCCCACCAAGTCTTTAGGAAGTTCCAATCTTTCCCACATCTTTCTATCTTCTTCTGAGCCCTCCAAACTGTTCCAAGCTCTGACTGTTACCCAGTTCCAAAGTCACTTCCACATTTTCAGGTATCTCTACAGCAGAGACCCACTCCCAGTACCAATTTACTGTATTAGTCTGTTCTCGCACTGCTAATAGACCTACCCAAGACTGGGTAATTTATAAGGGAAAGAGGTTTAATGGACCACAGTTCCACATGGCTGGGGAGGCCTCACAGTCATGGCAGGAGGCAAAGGGGAAGCAAAGGCACATCTTACATTGTGGCAGACAGGAGAGCTTGTGCAGGGGAATTCCCACTTATAAAAATCATCAGGTCTCCTGAGACTTATTCACCACCATGAGAAAAGTATGGGGGAAATTGCCCCATGATTCAATTATCTCCACCTGGCCCTGCCCTTGACATGATTCAAGGTCAGATTTAGGTGGGGACATAGCCAACCCATATTACAGCCCAAACTGACCAAGACACCAGGCAAGATAGTATGTCACTCTGAAATGAGATGAATGATTCTGTCTAAATATGTAATGTGAGTGAATATGTTAGGTAGGAAGGAGAAAAAGTCCTCTGATTAACATAGAATCTGAATGTCTTTTTTAGTTTATAGCAGAAGATTGAGAATTCTCCCAGGGGATTGGTCATTATTGCATTATGATACCATGTATGTGGGTAGCAAGACAGGTGAAGTTCTCTACACATTCTAGAGTGAGTTTTTAAAGTTCAAGCCACCCTGGGCCATGGGGATTCTCTAGTTAACAGAACTCAGACACATTTGCACAGTTAAAGCAAAGGTTTCTTTTAGCATATTTCAACTCTTTAAGTTGTTTCTCATAAAAAAAAGTCTAATTCTTGATTTTAGTCCTTTATTAGCACCCTTAAATATTGCAAACTACACCATCCTATACTAGAAATGATCCAGCACTCAAATAAAGATCATCTGCCATTTGATTTTTGAATTAGAAGAAATCGTATGCTTTGGGGAAGAAAAGTCAGCTATAAAATTAATTTGGTTGAATGTTGAGAAACTGCTCTCAGCTGCCTTGTGCAGAATTAGATAAGAAACAAGGAAAATGACTCCACTCTTTCCAGTGCCCTTATCAATTTCTTATCTGATCTACCCCATTAACTCTTCTTATAGCTCACTGTTAAATCCTATTGTCTATTTAGCACTGTGGCATGGCTGCAATGTTTTGATGGATATCATTTCTGGGGACTAGGGTATTTAAAAACTGTATTATTTTAAATTACTTTTCTGTAAATATCAACTTCAATTGAATACCTGAGCTGCCACTTTTTGAATTTCCCTTTAATCAAAACTGCAGCTACCACGGCTACTGAAGGAAGTACCTCAGTGCCGGTACAGAGTTAGCTCTAAATTTATGCTCCCAGTGGAAAGAACCCAAAATTAATTTTCAGTGGACTGTTTTCAGAAGGGTTGTGGGAGGGCTCAGAAATGACTGTAAGGGTAATGAACATGCATCTATTAGGAGTGGTAGCTTGAACCTGTGGAACAAAAGGGGTGCCTTGGGGACATATGAATGTTCTCGTTAGGAGTATACATTTTAAGAGTACAAGTTCTGTTCTAACACGTTTTTGGGAAAAACACAAATCTTTGTCGTGCGTTTTTTTTTTTCTGTAACTATTTTACTTATGCCTGCCAAAATCTCAGCCAAAAATTTCTAATGTGCTAAATGAGCTAATCTCTGAGGTTTCTTCCACCTTTAAAATTCTACAACTCTGTGGCAACCATTACTGCAAATGTGCTCATGGTTATAGTTTGTCCCCTAAAATAAAAATGGAAAAAGCAGATGAAGATCCAGGTGCCACATGAAAAAGCAAAATGACTAACTGTATCAACGTGAGGTACATTGTGTCCTTGCTCAACTACAAGGCAAATTTTCTGGAGTAATTTGCTGTCTACTTATCTTTGTGTATAGAAATCCACGTACTCCGTGTGTAAAAAAACTAATTTCACACCAGGAAATTAAAAGCATATTAGTCAAGACAGCTATGAAGTATGATGACTAAAATTATTTCATTTTATTTTCTCAAGTATGTGTCAATAAATACTAAGTCTATTAATTGAAGATTTACAGAAAGTTATAGCTACTTTATATTAAGGAAGGTAAGATCGAAATAAGCCATAGCACCTTTTTTTAAATTAATGCACTTGAAAATTTGATGTGCCTAATGGGAGTGTTTTTAATGAATTATATATTTATATGTATGAAACTCAGGAACTAAAATCAAACATAAGAATTTTCAAATGATCTTTATACGTGTTACTAGTGTAATTCTTAGACTTTCTACTCAGTGAGAGAACAAATGAATTTAATAAAGAAGTAAGAAGTTAGATGTGCATTGCAAATATGACAAGATGTTCAAATACTTAAAATATAGATATAATTGTTTTCACGTTTGTTTTTTCATGTTTGTTTTTGATTATAAAAAGAAATATAGAAGCAAAATGTTGACAGTAGCTCTATACACCTAAGTGAAATAGCCTTAACACAAATGAAATGGTGTTTTGGCTATACACATATCTTATGTATGTGGCTCGGTTTATGAAGTCGGTTGATGCTAAATCTTACTTTTCCCCATTGAGTCAAATTTATCTTTCCCAAGTAACCACCCATTTTAGTCATTTAAACATTATTTAGAGGGCTGAATATACAAATGTAATCAACCTCTAGAGGAAAACTGCTATCGGGGTGATGAGAAGCTGTAAGCAGAGACTGTATAGAGATTGCCTGAACTCTAAGTGTTGAAAAAGCAGAGGACCTTTAAAAAAGGTGATTGCAAGCTGAGGATCATGTATTAGAAGTGAATTTACTCAACCGACTTTAGTTCAAGGACCTGTAAATCTCACTGTTTAAAATTTTATTCTTGTTCAGAAACACAAAGATTATCAATATAAGTACTTTTGCAGTGGGAAATGGAAGCTCATGGACAGAAGAACAGTGAGTTATCAAAGAATGTGTCTTCTCACTCAAATTGGCAGGACAAGAAGCCCGTGGACTAATACCTGGGGCTGCATGTCCAGTAGGAAACCCACAGTAATGGAGTAGCATAGGTGAGCATCCTCTGCCTTTCCTATAAGTATCTGTATCCTCACCTTACATACTGGATTTTCTGTACCACTGCCCAAATAAACAGCACTGGTCGCAGTGTGGGAGAGGGGTGGGGTGTGGGGTACTTCACATCACTGCAAATACCACCTACAATGCTGCTTCCTCACTTTCCACCAATTAGATCCAAACTTGTTCAGAATCATTTTCCCTGCACAATGATACTGGTTACAGGAATATTTATGTCAGGATAAAATTTTTAATCTTCTCTTTAAGTAAATTGTTTGGCCAATCTGAGAAGAAATGAGATTCCTGGTCTGCTGAAAACAAAGAAATGAGAGCAGAGGGGGAGGAAATTCTAAATGTCCATACTGGATACACAGTTCCAAAATAGAAAAGGAAAATATAAATATTTCTGGCGAGCAAATGCTCCACATAAAATGTCAATGCCTTCATACCAACATCTGGTTTAAGTTCAACTGCTTGCCTTATCCCGCGCCCTCTAACAAAAAAACAAATCCTGCTAGTCCAAATGTTCTGACAACTTAACCAGGACATACTGCAAGGACATACATTCTGGAGAGGGAGTTTCTGGATTTGAAGAATTCTAAAACCAAGAAAAGCCTCACTGACTACGTAAGTTAACCATCTCAATTATTCTTTTATATGTAAATAGAAACACTTGAGTATCATTAATTGCACAAAAAGAAAACGTCAGAATGAACAACAGGCTAATTTATCTATAGACAACAAGTAATAATAGGCAAAAAGAATTTTTGGAGGGAAATGGAAACTCTTCATTATTATTCAGGCATCGTTGATATAAAATTGACTTCATTAAAATATATACTGCCCATTATTGCGATGGAGTCACTAAGGAAATTTGAAATCTTGATGATTATTTTTAGAGAAAAATTCTTATATACTAAATTATATACAGCCCAAAACAATAACAATTATCATTATTTGTTTTATTTGCAAGCTCTTCCCCTTTTAAGAGCTTTATCTGATAATGAGAAATCCATCAAATTAGAAAATATACTTTATATCAGGAAAGTGGAAGGCATGTTTTATAGTAGCTTTAATTAAGATTTTTTGTATTTGCAAATATTGGACTCCTGAATAAAATATGTCAAATGCTGTGAGCATCAAACTTAAACTTATTTCACATAAACTATACTTACAAAAATACATAATTTTCCAGCTTTTACTGGCCCAGCACATTTAGCTTTCAAAAGCAAAAAAGCTGGAAATAATTCAGAAAGAAGTGAAAAATTAGCAAATATTATTGTTCTCTTGGATGAATGTGTTTTATCAAACATATATAATGTCAAATTTCATTTGAAAAATGACTACTGATGCAAGTTTTTGAAGATATGTAATATTAATTTCTTAGAACAAGTCAGTTTTAAGTAACATTAAATGTACGTATGTTATGAGTTGAATTGTGTCTCCCAAAACTCTTATGTGAAGTTCCTAAGCCCCAGAATTTCAGAAGTGACCTTATTTGGGAATAGGTTCTTTGCAGATATAATTAGTTAAGATGAAGTCATTATGGTGGGCTGTAAGCCAATGTGATTGGTGTCCTTACACAAAGGGGAAATTTGGAGGCAGACGTGCATAGAGGAATGATGATGTGAAAAGACAGGGAGAAGATGGCTGTCTACAAGCCAAGGAGAGAGGGTCGGAACAGATCTTTCCATTAAAACTCAGAAGAAACCAGTCCTGCAAATAGCTTAATTTCAAACTTGTAGCTCCCAGAATTGTGAGACAATAAATTTCTGTTATTTAACCTACTCAATGATAACACCAGCAAACTAATAATATGTGTGTAATAAATTATAAAGCATAAAATAGATTGCAAGATACATCATATTATAAATTATGACAAAATATGCCTATATTATTTTTATAATAATTTTAATGCTATTTGAAGCTTTCATGTTGCCTCCTCAAATAAATACTTCAAAAAAATGACCAAATTCATCAAAAACATAATGATGAAATAACCCATTTTATTATCTTCTTGATTTTTCTGATTTATTTATATATAACTTTTTACAATGGCTAGGACCTACAGTAGAATTTTGAGTAGAAGTTGTAAAAGAGGAAATTTTCTTATTTCTTATTTGTAAAGAATAAGAAATTTTCTTATTCTTATTTGTAAATAATTCAGATTTGGGGCAGCAATTATGATATTGGCAGAGTGGTTGGTACATATTAGTCTTATATATTAATTTTATATATGCATATATATATAAAATGTTGTATTTTTATTAATCTATGAAGATTGAATTTTAAAAGTATACCTTACAGTTTAAGAATCTATCAGGTGACAGTACTGTATACTATTAAATTTTATCTCCGTAGAGTAGTAGAAATACAATCTTAAATCACATTCAGATAGGAACAGAAAAACAAAACTCAACAAAAAATAACTACCATGAACAATATCTATTTTCACTTTTAAAGTACAAAGACATCCATATTTTTATTGCCTCAACGGTAATGGTCAACTGTTGTCAATAGCAATAAAACTAGATTTTGTTTTAATAATCTGCAATATGATAAATATCAACTACTTTTGTTTTTACCGTGTTTCTAAGGATATGCTAGACACATTTTAACCAAATAAGTGGAATGTCCTTGATTAAATAAATAATTTTACAGATTTCTTCCCCTGTTCTGGGATTGATATTTTCCTAACATATTTTTCTGTCTCCGTTTTATTTTTTTAATTTTATAGAATTGTGTAAGTGGAACAGGATGAGCAAAACATGATCTGTGTATCTCCAAATCTTTATTATTTTCTTACATGACTTATTCACAGATTATTCCAACTATGGCTATAATTATTACTGAATGCATCTCACATTAAATTTTACGAAATTGTTTAAATTAAGCTTATATAAAAGTCCTGTCTATCTATTTGTCTGCATATGTACATATCCACCTACTTATTATCTATGGTTAGATTATAAAATGAAGAGGAGAAAAATTAATGTGAATATAGAAAATACAGTAACTTCTTTGCAAAGATTAATCACCCTAGCTTAGGTTAACTTTTTAAAAGCGTGTGTGTGTGTGAGTGTGTGTGTCTCTGTGTTTGTGCATGCTTGTGATTTTTTCTTGGTCGTTTGGCATAACCTATGTTTGTTAGGAAAACCTGATGGCATCAATTAATTTAAAATTATTACCAGCTCCCTGAATTTGTATGCCCTCATATAGGTTTATTAGAAAATGAAACTATACACCTTCAATTTTCATGAAAGCAGGAGCTCAATGCAGTATCTCATATTTAAAACTATCTATTTACTAATCATGATCAATTCATATACACAGGTGTCATGGCAGCTTAGAAAACACATTTACCTGAGTGATCTTGGTTACTCAGGAAAAGTAAATAAAGCTATTTGCTTTAAAAAAATCTTCAAAAACACAGAGAATACACTTTAGTTTGAAATTATGTTATAGTTGAAAATCTTAAAAGTGTATAGCTGTTCTGATAAATTCAAATTTATTACTTAAAATTCTGGAATACAAAAAATAAAATAAAAATTACATAAATGTAAAAAAACAAAGCAAACAAAGAATTCCTCAACATATATCCTGAAAGTATTTTGGAATCAAATAAACATGACTTTTACATGTCTCTAAATGTATAATTCTAAAAGATGATACTCACAGCATTTGTCTTACTTTTTTATAATGATCCTCATGGCTATTTTTTTTTAAGTTTCAGGGTACACGTGCAGGATGTGCAGATTTGTTACATAGATAAATGTGTGGCATGGTGGTTTGCTGCCCCTATCAATCCATCACCTAGGTACTAAGCCTAGCAAGCATTAGCTGTTTTTTTCTAGTGTTCTCCCTCCTCCCACACCATCCCCTAGTGCCTGTCGTTCTCCTCCCTGTGTCTATGTGTTCTCATTGTTCAGCTTCCACTTATAAGTAAGAGCTTGCAGTGTTTGGTTTTTTGTACCTGCATCAGTTTGCTGAAATTTTCGCATAGAGGGTTATATATTAGAGTAGTGGAATTAATGTAATGGAGAAAATCAATGATGCTGTATTATTGTGATAAGAATTGTATTTAAATAATGGAATGAAACTAGGAATTCAAGAGTGAGTGTTTTATGTCTAGCTTTCTGTTGGAAACCTCTTTGTGATTTGGTTTTGTATTCTTTAAATTTAGGTAATACTGTCATTTCTGTACCTTAAACTACTTCTGAGAATCAGCCAAATAATAAATGTGAGATCTTTTCAGCAGTTAATTTCTAGATGTGAGCTATTATGTAGTTTCTAGATATTTAGTAAGAGAATAGCAGCAACTTGTTTATCATTTTTTCAAAGTTGTACCAAGGAGAACAATTCCTATTATCATAAAGACAGTTTAATTCTAATTGTCAATAAACACAATAGCCATTATTTGTTATTTTATTGGCTGTCAGACAATTTGCTTTTACTTTGCAGCTATAATTTTATTTTTGTCACACTCATGTCAGCTGCTTAATATAAGTTTTTTACCATTTCAGTGATTTTACAAATCACAGAAAAATTAATATACTTTGTTCTAGTTCAAGTTTTTTAATTGTAGCAGCTGAAATTTGAACTCAACTTTCTTTTTTAAATTCAATACCCATTTTTCCATATGCTCATATGGTAGATTAAAGAATTCATTAAAGATAAATTGGCATATTAACTAGGATAGGTCAGATATAAATTTCTAGCATCTCTAGGAATTATAATATAATCAAAACATGGCAGCTGAAAAGACTAGACCATGTATGGAAAACAAAAATTTCACTCTAAAGTTAAATTGCATAAATGAAGAAGTGACATTAAAAATAAAATTATAAAATTAGACTATTGAATCACTGGTGTTAGGAAAGGAGTGTAATTTAATTCTTTTATTAGTATAATACAAATAAATTAGGAGCTAATATTGAAGTATATATACACATACATACATATTCTGACATGAGATGCCAATTTCTGAATTGAGAAGTGCTTTGATTCCCTCTTTTCTTCTCCCTCGTGTGTACATTTTTGAGCTATTGTATGGTTTGTATTACTCTAGAGGAAAAATTAGAGAAGCTCTGCATTATAGAAAGTTTTCTCAGTGTCTTTGATGATAGTTTTACCTAAAAAACAGTTCTCATCTTTCTTGCTCTTTGGGAAACATTTGCCACTATGAATCGTATTCCTCCTGAAAATATCTCCTTCCTTAGATTGCATTTCACTCTGTTATCTTTGTCCCCCTTCCTTGATGAATACTCTTTCTCCATCTGCTTCACTACCTTTCGTGTTCAGTCTCCTTTATGTAGAATGTTTTATTTTTGCTCTTTTCTCTTTCCTTGGAATTTTACTTAGGTATAAGTCCTCTTCTTTAAATTTGATATAAATGTTTGAAGTCTGTATCTCTAAAAGGAACTTTCGTATCTGAAGGTCTAAATATATGACAAGCATCTCCATGTGGGTGTTCTATTGATTATTCATGCCCATCAAGTTAACAAAAAAAAAAAAAAAAAACTCACACATTCAATATTTTCTAGTTTCTTGGTTCTCTTCCTGACATCTCCATTTCCCTCAGCTGTACCACTATTCTTTTAACCATACTTGCTCAAACTATGTGACTTTTATTTTTTTCTCTCCTCTCAATTTCTATGAAATGTTAATTATTTTAATTTGAATCCTTTTCACACTTACTACATCCGTGTTATCTCCTTTCTCTTTATCACTCTAGTACATAGGTGTGTTTCATTATTTATTGCCCGTGCCCCTATCTTATTATCTCCTGTAGGATCCAACAAATTGATATTTGCTATATTCTGCATGATCATTTTTACTCTTGAGTTCCTGTGGATCATATTAATGATCCTTAAAGTCCACCGAGTTAAAGAATACCTGAGTTAAAATTATTTGAGAATGTCTCAAGAGATCTTTTTTATGTTTTCCTGGATTTTTCACCCTCTATATGGACTTCTTATTTTTAATAGTTACCTCTCAGTTTCCCTTACAGACACCAAGGAATCTTCTTCAAACTGATGTCCCCAGTGCCTCTTGAAAGTATTCTGTATTTTATTTCTGAGTACTTCTTTCTCATGCATCTCACTCTGTTTGGAATCTCTATTCCTCTCATCAGGACTACCTGTCAAAACCCTGCTTACTCTTCAATAATTCCTGCTTCAGGTGCATTTCCTGGCTTCACTCTTTATTTCTATAAAAAAAGTATTTGTGTTTCCAACTTACTATGATTTATGTTTGAGATCATCTGGTTTTAGTGTTTTTGTACCATTATGGTGTTTCCATTTTCATTTTCTGTTAATTTATTTTGGTGTACTTATCTCTCCTACATAATGCAGTGTGTTAGAATTCAGGTGTTACATCTTGTTCATATGTGCACACTGATGATACATTATGTTGTTGTTTTATATGTTGTGTATAATAAAATAAATATTAAATTGAGTTGAAATACAACCCTCATGATTTCTAGCAGATTCATAGTAGGGATGCCTATTTCAAATAAACAGGCACTATGAAACTAGAATCTTGAATTAGCCTGACTCATGGAATGTAACGAAAAGGTGATTTATTTTTTGTCACTTTTTCTTTAAAGTGTATCCAGTGATAATGACCCTCCTTTGAATGAAAAGTCAGCATGCCCTGTGAATTTTCTCCTGACTCTTATTAAATGGATGATTCTATTGCCCCATTAAGTAATAACACGTTTAAATTCAGAACGTGAAAGTGTTCTAAAAATCATGTCAATCTTCATTTAGAGAAAAGACACCCTTTCTCTCTACCCCACATGCACTATAAGCCTTTGATAGAGAGGAATTTGCTTGGCTTTTGGTAACATTTTCCCTCATCACCCCCTCAGCCTATGAGTTGCTTTTTGGGTTCCTTAAAGTCTGGATCCCAATGTGGTTGCATATTTTCTGAGTTTGGGCTGGTGGAGAGTAGGAATTAAAGTGTTGCAGCAGCTCTCAGCAAATCCTCTCTTCCCAAATCCTCTCCAATATCTGTATTTTAAGGTTTTTTTTAAATATCCTCTTTGCAGGCTAACATTTTTTAAGTGTTAAATTGTGTTACTAAATATTTACTTTGCAGATATCCATATATCTCACAACTCACCTTTGTTTCATGGCATCACCTCATGCAATACTATAGAATAAACACCTGGTGCCTTAATGGAAGTCATACTGCCTATCTCACTCTGTAAGCCTCATGAGGATTCATTGTTCCTCCAAGTCAATCATGGTGCAGTCTGCATTACCATAACACCCAAAGCCTAAATGCCTATATGTACTATAATCCTAAAGTACATAACCATATACATGCATGTGTTTATACACACACATACACATGCACACACACATAGAATGAATGGAGAATCTGGTGATGGAAAATAATGTTATAAGCATTATATATTATATATTATATTTTATGGTAGGTATTTGCATATCGTGTGTGTGTGTGTGTATGCCTTTTTTAAAGTTACCAGACCCTCCATTACATCTGCTTTGATCAGTGCCATTGAAGAATGCACTGTAAGCAATGAAGTATAGTTCAAAGTTACTGTGTGATAAAGTATGTCTAGTGTCCACACCCAAATCTCATGTCAAATTGTAATCCCCAGGGTTGGAGGAGGGGCCTGGTGGCAGATGATTGGGTCATGGGAGCGGATTTCCCCCTCGCTGTTCTCATAATAGTGAGTGAGTTCTCATGAGATCTGGTTGTTTAAAAGTGTGAGGGACCTCTCCCCTCACTCTCTCTCTCTCCTGTTCCACCATGGTAGGATGTGCTTGCTTCCCCTTCGCCTTCTGACGTGGTAAAACATGATTGCTTCCCCTTTGCCTTCCCCCATGATTGTAAGTTTCCTGAGGCCTCCCAACCATGCCTCTTGCAAAGCCTGCAGAGCTGTAAGTCAATTAAACCTCTTTTCTTCATAAATTACCCTGTCTCAGGTAGTTCTTTATAGCAGTGTGAGAACGGACAAGTACACTATGATTGTTAGACTCTTCTCTACCCACTCATTATTTTCTCCCGCAGAGTTCAAACACAGTTTGGTGGCATTTTCCTTGACATTATTCAAGAACCTAAAATTATTTAGAGGAAGGGTAAATAATAGGACAGAACAGGCAGCTTGCCTTTGTATAATTTTATCATTCTGGTTTTCTACCCAGAAATTTTTCTTGGAGTTCAAATTTCAGTTAATTAAGAGTAAGCGTTATATTATTGCAATGTGAAGACCACTCACTATGGGGATTGTGGAGACCATTTTGTTTGAAAACGTTTTGTAATACATATATTGGGATAAATTTTAAGAGGCAATGTAGTGTACATATTAAAGAGCCTGTGGTTTGTAGCAAGAAAACTGGGGTTTAAAATTCATTTCTATAACTTATATTCTTTGTAGCTTGATCCTGACCAGGGTATTTACCATCTTTAAGATGCAGTATCCTGATTTTTAATAAAGGAATAATAATTTATTATCCATCTTGAAGGTTTATGTTAAAGATTGAATAAAATAATTTATGAAAAATGTTTAAAATTGTAATATTTTTGTTTTATTTATAATAATTTTGTATGCAGATAAAGCCTAAAAATAGCAAGTAATTTTATAATGAAAACAAAAATTTATGAGAACAAATATGCATCACATACCTTTTCTGTGAAAAATGATTTATGCATTTTCTTAAATCAATTATCTGAATTAGTTTTTTTGTTACAAATAAGAAAATCACAAACCAAAGAGGTTAGCCTGTCTGTAGTGAATTAGATAATAAGATGTGGATTAGAATTAAAAATTTATTTTTGAATAATGCATTATCATTGCATTATTCCTTATATGAACGTCAGTCTATCTGTTTTGACTCAAGATTAGCATTGCTGGAATTCATTCCAACATATTGAAATAATGCAAACTCTTTTTAACATAACGTTTTCTCAACTGTTTACACATGAATGTGTATTTGTGTGCATGCATGTGAAGAGGAGAGAGAGAGAGAAAGAGGGAGAACAAATCTAAATCAGAGCAGGTAGACCAGAGCTAATAGAAATCATGAAATGTATTGGGCACAGGTAGTGTCAGCAAACATGCTAATCATTTTATGCCTATTATCAAATTTAATATCGCCAACCTAGGTAAACAGTTGAATGGCACACAGAAGGACTAGAACATTCTTAGTGGGTGTAGAGATTGACAAAATAATATGAAAAATATTGTATAACAAGGTAGTATAATCTACATAGCATATTTTATGAGGTGAAAATTGCATCGTTAAAATCTGTTTAAAATGAATACTCTGGAAGTAATAATTCTATAAATAGTGGTAAGGCATACAGAGATGAAGGAAAATATTAAAAATATTATTATTTTAGTTTTTTGACATGTTACCTTTGAAGTGAAGACATGGTGAGCATATAACAAATATACAGATGATAGTGAAGTTGCAGAGTTGAGAGGCTGAACAACTGAAAATAGTACCTATATATTTATTTTGAAATATAATGGATGTCCAAGAATGAAATTTAAATACAACCTGTGATATAAAAATGGAACGATGCAAAGCCTACACTTTGAATTATTACTCATGATGTGAACCAATGAAATAGTCTGAACTTCCAGAAATATAATAACACTTTGTTCTACGGTATGGGGATCTCTTTACCGTTTCTATATATTATAAGATTTTCCAAAGTCTGTAAGTTATACTGGAACTTTTCCTGGAGAAATGAAAGGAATAGAGTCAGCATTTTTCTAAGGCTGCTGTATTAACCAGCTTTTGACTTATAACGCTGTGTAACAACGAACTCCTAAATCTCAGTGCCTTACTACAGACAACACTTACTTTTGCCTACAAGTCTGAGGGCTAGCTGTCACCACTCCACTCTAACCTGAAGGCTAAATTCAAGTGAGCTTCACATATTATTCATTCTTGGAACACAGTTAAGTAAGCAGTAGGTATAGAACATTATGCTTCTCTTGGGGAAGAGGAATGCAAAGTCATGAATTGAAGCACATTTAAAGCCACTGCTTAGAGGTAGGGTGATCACATATAACCATTTTTATTAGCCAAAGCAGGTCACCTGATGAAACCCAACATCAGTGCAACCTATAGGAGTGGAGGTGGACAGAGGGAATATTTGCTGAACAATAATGCCATCGACCACAGCCAGATAGAACTGAAGAATTGCCTTGAAAGAAAAGGCAGCTGCAATGTATTGGATATTCAGCTAATATTTCCCAAATTAGCTAAAGACAGGTAAAAGTAGTTTTACTGCCAGTTTTATGCATAAGATTATGTCTATTCTTCCTCTTGTTCATGTGGTTTTATTATCTTATTATTTTTAAACACTGTAATTTCAATTACAGACTTATTGTCGTTCATCACTTCCATTTTTGTTATAGTTATTATTTTTCTAAAGTAAGTAATTTATACAGCCCATTTCATTTCTAAAATTTTCCAAGAATGTATTATCAATATTGAAATAAACATTGCTGAACTTTTAAATAACTTTCACTGGTCAATAGACAGTATTATTGCGGACAAGCTCTGCTTCTTGGAAGTAGTTCAATAATTGACCACCTAATCTTGATCTGGGTTTGGTGAATACAAATAAAATTACTGTGTAAAATCTTATCAAAGCACACTGATGCTCTCCCAGGAAATCTACGTTCTTTGCTATAAAATTCTAATTGTGGCAATCTTATCATGAATCAGTCTTTCTGATTATCTTGCATTTATTTGGCTACTTAATTATTCTTTTGTTATTAGATAAAATTGGACAATATCATGTGTATTCATGTACACGATGAGAACATTTTGAGTAGCAGCTTTAAGTATTTGGGAAAAATATGCTACTAGAATCTATGATTAACAGAGTAAATTGGTGAATTTTTAGAAAACAAAAATTTGTTTTTTCTTTTTCACATTTTGTACCTGTCCACATTATATAGCATTTATTAACAAATGCAACAGCTGAAAGGAACCTAAAAGATCATTTAGCCCGGAGGTCAGTAATATTTTCTCTGAAGAGTAGACAGTAATTATTTAAAGCATACACCATATGATCTCTATTTCAAATACTCAGCTGTGCATTTGTAAACACAGCAATAAATCATATGTAGATGAGAGTGTGTTACAGTAAAACTTTTTTCCACAAAAATCGATTGTGGCCTCATTTGGCGAATGACCCCTAGTTTGTTGTGCCCTGATCTTGTCTGACATATTTATTTATCAGATAAAAAAACTGAGACTTAAAAGATTTAAAATTATTATGCCAAAATTATTTATGTAAATTCTACAATTTGGTGAAGAATACAAATCCAATTGATATCAAATATGGGTCTAGAACCCAATATTGCTCAGTCCTGTTTGAGAATTCACAAATCTATTATTTCATGAATTCCCAAGGGAATTCATGCCTCCCTCCCTCCCTCTCTCTCTCTCTCTTTTTTTTTTTTTTTTTTTTTTTTTTGGTTAAACATAGATACTATTTGAAATCATGGGCTGAGCGCGGTGGCTCACGCCCATAATCCCAGCACTTTGGGAGGCTGAGGCAGACGGATCACCTGAGGTTGCGAGTTTGAGACCAGCCTGACCAACATAGAGAAACCCTGTCACTACTAAAAGTACAAAATCAGCCGGCAGTGGTGGCACATGCCTGTAATCCCAGCTAGTCAGGAGTCTGAGGCAGGAGAATCGCTTGAACCGGGGAGGAGGATGTTGCGGTGAACAGAGATCACGCCCTTGCACTCCAGCCTGGGCAACAAGAGTGAAACTCCGTCTCAAACAACAACAACAGCGAAAGAAATCGTGATACATGATAAAACATTTATAACATCTCACTGGTTGAAGTCAATTTTTTAAAAATGTAAATATACACTTTGACTAACTTTGGATATGGATTATTTTAATTTGACTGATAAAATGAAGCCTTAAGCTACAAGACAAATTCTTTTTACACAAGTTTTTTGGAAAGTAATGACTGAGAAAAATACACGGTTTACCAATGATCTTATGAAGTTTTAGAACAGTGCTACTCTTTCAAGATATTTGGTATTTACTGAAGGAGTAGCTTCTCATAAGTACATATTTCTGATGACCAATTATCTTTGTTAGCCCATATATTAATTCGTGTATTTATAGTTAACAATATCAAACAATATTTTCAAGCAATCTCCTATGTCTCATACTTTTAAATTCATATTGTAGCAAGTTAAAAACATAATGTATACTTCCGTTGTTAATTAAAATAATAGGAAAAAATTGTTATTATTATTATTATTATTTTTTGAGACGGTGTCTCGCTTTGTCGCCCAGGCTGGAGTGCAGTGGCGCAATCTCGGCTCACTGCAATATCTGCCTCCCGGGTTCAAGGGATTCCCCTGCCTCGGCCTCCCGAGTAGCTGGGACTACAGTTGCGCAGCACCATACCCGGCTAATTTTTTGTATTTTAGTAGAGATGGGGTTTCACCATGTTGGCCAGGATGTTCTCAAACTCCTGACCTCATGATCCGTCCGCTTGGGCCTCCCAAAGTGCTTGGATTACAGGCCTGAGCCACTGCGCCCGGCCAGGAAAAATTAATTTAAGCATTTATAGTATTTTCTACTTTTCACAGCTACTTTTACTATTCAAGCTTTTAAAATAAATATGCTTAAATCTTAAAAACCAAAGCAAAAAGCAAGGCCACAGAAATAAATTTTATTTTTCCATTTGTTTTCTGTTGGAGTATATTTTATAAATTTTTATGTGGAATTTGGTTAAGAAGATGTGTTTTTCAGTACATCCTATTGAGATATTTACATCCACCTACTATAATTCAATTTTCCCCAATATGTGAAGAAAAACAGATACTGAATATAGATCCAGATTTCGAGACTATGAGAACAATTCATACTAACAGTTACTGTTCAAATATATAAAAAAGATACTTGTGGCATGTAAAAAAAGCTACTGTCATGGTTCACAGGACTTAATTGAAACCCTGTGCATTGGTTGCTTTCTCAAGATTAAGGTCAATATAGTCATCACTCAAAATAAAATAATTACCAGTAAATTATATTTATCAGCATATTTAACTAGTAAATCCAAACAAAGTAAAATCAGGTTAAGGATTTCCAGTGGTGCATTATCAAATTTGCAAAATTTTATAAGCTTTACTTTTCTCTTATTTCATAAGAACACTAAATGGATTTACTCTACATATACAATAATTTAAAAATTTGGGTATTTGAAGAATATAATTTTATTATTTTGAATGCATTGATTAAAAGGCAAATATTGTATTATGAAAAATAGTTGGAAAACTTTTGAATGCTGAATGTTGCCATTAAGACAACTGATGTTGACTTAAAATGAGCAAAATCTAAATGTTACATGATTGGAAAGTGTAGATATGTATCACCCTAGTTACAAGATTAAAATGACTCCATATAAAATTCAAGTGCCTTATTGCCATATTAATGCTATTTATTTACTTGGTTTTATTTTTTAAGCATTATTTAAAAAATTTTACATCAGGCAAAAATGTGCAACTAGCGAACAATAAGTTAGACAATGATAATAATTCATTTTCACTATTTTTGCAGTATTCAGTTAAGAAAGCTAATGTAAATCTATAAAAACTTGCATGAGCCTAAGTCAAGGTTAGTCCAACAGTTAAGTTTTTAAATTAAAAAAGCTCTTTTCTCATATCATACATAAAAATTCATTCTGGTGGATTATAATCCTTCCTGTGAAAAGGAAAACAATATAATATTTATGGGATAGCACAATAAAACATCTTCATAACCTTGTAATGGGTAAATACTTTTTAAGCAAGGCATAAAAGCATATCATAAGTTTTACTGCATTAAAATTAAGAGTATCTCTTCATTAAAAGTCAATTAAAGATTGTGGAAAGAAAACCTGCATGGAAAACCTATTTGTAACACATATATCAGACAAGCCATTTGTATCTTTAATAGAAAAATAATTCCTTAAAATTTTTAAGAAACTCAAGAAGAAAAGGAGAGAAATATTTGACCAAGGACTTCAAAATCTTATTGATAGACACAAAAGTGCCACATGAACAGGCAATGTAATGCAAGATACCAACCCAAATTGGCAAAAATTAAATATTACAAAAATGGACAACGGGAAGTATTGGCAAATGTGTTGAACAACAAGAATGCCCGTAAGCCACTAATAAAAGTCTGCTTTTGTTTATCAGTTTGGCATTACCTAATAAGATTTGAACACTTTACTAACCAGCACTTCCACCTCTGAGTATGTGGCAATTCTTTCATATTGTACCTGATATTGTAAACAAATGTTCATGATAGCTTTGTTTGTAACAGCTGACAACTAGAAATAATAAAATATCCATAAATAGTGCAGATGAGTAAATTATTGTATACTCGCCTAATGGAATACTATATAGATGTGCCAATTAATTAGTTAGAATACAAAGAAAAAAAATCACACCTCAAAATTAGAACCAAAATGTAGAACCAAGGAGTCAGACACAAAACATGATCAATATTATTTTATTCATATAAAGTTTAAAAACTGGCAAAAGTAAATTATAATTTTAGGAGTATATAATTAAATGGAAATACTACAGAGGAAAAGCAAGCAACTGATTGCTATAAAAGGCAACATAGTGACACCTCTGTAGCAGATACACAAGAGTGGAAAAGACATGAAAGATAGTCCTCTCTTGGCAGTGAGAATATTCTATTTATTGACCTGAGTGTTATTTACACAGGTATTTATAATCTCTTTTTAATCCTTTACTTTATTTTTTATAAAAATTTTCTTTATCAGAATACTAAAAAGTTTTAAAATATATTGTGTATTGTTTAATAAAAAACAACTTTTCAACTTCAAAATATATTTAACAAAATACAATATTTGGTCTCAGATATGGTATAGCAATATTCCCATTTGTTTTAACAGACTAATACAACACGTTTTACATATAATTTGAATATTATACATTTTATATGCTATATGTCAAACTATATAAACTAATCAAATTTTATTTTTAAAAATAATATTTATAACACTGATGTGGTAAAACGCAACTTTTATAAAAATGATTATATCTCTAGAGGTTACTTATTAAAAAATTAATCAAATGCCCTGTATAAGCTAAGTATGATTTTAAGTCCTGGGGTTTACACAGTTAACAAAACACTTTACAGAACTTCTGTCCACATGAAGATAATGTACTGGTGATGGGAAACAAAAATAATAACAGAGTAAGTAAGACATTTTAGGTAGTAATAAGAGATATGGGAAAAAGTAAGCAGGAAATAGGATAAATGTCCTGGGCATGTTTTATGCAACATCAAATAGAGTATCTAGAAAGCCTAAAAAGGCAAATCTTGGATCAAGACTTAAGGGAGGTAGGAGAATCAATACTCATATCTGGAGGATGTAGCTTGCTTGACACGTTTGAGAAAGCACAATTAGGCCAGTGTGTGGCTAGAGGGAGGAAATAGAAGATGTGGTTCCAGAGGCAATGAGGAGGGGGAAGACATCATAGAGGGCTCCATAAGGCTATTATCAGAATGTAGCTTTTACTTTGACTGACATGGGAAGCCTTTGAAAGTGTTTAAATGAAGATGTGTAATAATAAAACATATTTCAACAGAGCCATTTTGACAAGTGTGCTCAAAATAGACTTTATGAGCAGAGGGTGGGGAAAAACAAACCAAACAAAAAACGGACCAGTTAAAAGGCCATCAAAATAACCTATGCAAGAGATACCAGTGTTGTATAGCAGAATGGAAGCAGCGAAGGTATCCAGATGCAGCCTGGCATTCAGTTAAGACGGTCTGAAGGTTAAGAGATTGAAATAATTATTTAGGGTCGCCAGCCAGGAGACAGAATGCAAGCATCAAATAAGTGAGCAGAGAAGGAACACAGAAAAGTCCAAAGACTGCCACTAGCAAATTCCAAAATTAAGAGGTCAGGGAGCCAACTGGGAACCAGTAAAAGAGATGGAACACGATCCGGAAAGAACAGGTAAGCATGTTGTCTAGAGAAATTTAAAAAACACTTTCAAAGACTAAATGATTAACTTAGTTGTGGGATTTTTTGGTTGTTCAAATAAGGTTAAAACCAAGAATGATCTCTAAATCTGGAATGTGGCAGTCATTGGTGATCTTGATGGGGGCAGTTTTGTTGGGGAAGGGTGTGAAAATATCATTGTCACAGATTCAAGAGAATGCAAGCAGACTAATTGGAGACAGTAGAAATGGACTATCCTTTCATTAAGCAAAGTGGTAATGTCAGGGAGAGATTTGGGGATCAGTAAAATAAAAGTGAAGACGTATATAGGAGTTGCTTTGGTTTGCTTTGTTTCGTATTGTTTAGATGGGAAGCTACGAAGCAGAAGAAAAAATTTAAAAGGAGAGGATGGATAGGTTGGGCGTGGTAGCTCACACCTGTAATCCCAGCACTTTGGGAGGCTGAGGTGGGTGGATCACCTGAGGTTAGGAGTTCGAAACCACCCTGGCCAACATGTTGAAACCCCATCTCTGCTGGCTCCTGTAATCCCAGCTACTTAGGTGTCTGAGGCAGGAGAATCACTTGAACCTGGGGCAGTGAGCAGAGATTGTGCCATTGCACTCCAGCCTGGGAGACAAGAGTGAAACTCCATCTCAAAAGAAAGAAAGAAAGAAAGAAAGAAAGAAAGAAAGAAAGAAAGAAAGAAAGAAAGAAAGAAAGAAAGAGAAAGAAAGAAAGAGACAGAGGATATCAATGAGGAGAGCTAGGAAAGATTTCTGAGTAGCAAAAGGAGGTGACTTCAAGTGCACATTTAGATATGTATCTACCTAATTATAGTATTAAAACTACTCCTATACAATTAAGCTTGTTTGATTACCTTGTTAATTCCTACTTCAAGAGACTGCTCTTTGTTTCTTTCCCTTTTTCTAATTTTATTTGGGTTTCAGGGGATACATGTGAAGATTTGTTACATGGCTAAATCGTGCATCCCTGAGACTTGGTATATGAGTGATCCTGTCACCAAGGTAGTGAGCATATTCCCTGATATGTAGCCTTTTAACCCCCGCCTCCCGCCCACTCTATGTACTTAGATAAGAAAAATAAAGCTTTTTTTCTTATCTAAGCACAATAGATTCATTTAAAATAATAAGAGGAAAGTAAAATGTACAGACACAGATGCAGGAATTCTGGTAAATAAGATTAATATAGTGAAAAAGCTTGTATAGGATATTGTCTGCTTATTTTTTTTTCAATAATATAGGGAGCAAGATCAAAGCTGAGAATAAGGAGAGTGAAGGAGGTTTGAGGACGGAGGATAAAATACGAGTCAGTGGTTGAGGAGCGTGGAAGAGTAAAAGGGTTAGGGAAATATAGGACCATGTGGACCGGCATAGAGGCCCTCCTGAGATGAGTGATAAATGAGAAAAGTCAGTATAATGGGAAGGTCATGGGAGGCTCTGTTCACCTGTGTAGGGCAGACTCCTACTATTAGAGAGTTTGATAAGACAGGCCTGTGGTTCAACAAAAAAGTACAATAAATAATAAAAGGTCAAAAAGTTGAGAAAAAAGGGAGATTATAATTGTGATTCATAGAAGTTAAGCTTGGAATGGAGAGAAGAGGATATGAAGTGGTTAGGGCACATAAAGATGTCATAGGATCAATGGATTGTGGGTTCTTCAGGTGTCAAAGATTTAAAAATATAGGCTAAACAGGAAGAATTAAAGAGAGTAGCTAGTCTTTGCCAGGGCTTATGTTTATTTTGAAGTCACAATTTTTCAATTTAACCAGAGAGAAACAGACAAATAGAATTTTAAAATACAAATAAAAGGATTTTTATATGAAGAAAATGTTGACAAACAGTAAGAGAAAGACTAGCTAGACAGGAAGATAGATAGATCGACATAAACTAAATAACAGAATTCTACAATCCTCATTATAATTTTATTGAATCTTCAAATTTCAAAGAACAATAAGAGCCATATAGTTTGTTTCAGCCCAGCCTCTCTGCCTTGGGTCTGTGAAAGGCCAGACGCCTGCCAAATGATGAGGCAGTTGCCAATTGGATTCTGAAGCTGTAGAAATAGAACTGGATTCTGACAAAGGAATTATATTCTCATTTTCACTAAGCCTCTAGGATGCCCTCTCCACTAAATATTCTATGATAGCAATAGACACAGTAATCTATGAAAGAAGAGACCTGTAGTGGAGGGCATCAGAATGCAGACAGTGAAAGAGATTCAACTAGAACACATTTAAGCACTGCATTATTGATGGCTTTTGGCAAGGAAAGTTAAAGTGTGATTGTGCTGCCATTTAAAACTCTCAGTTTCAGATGTAAGGCAAAAGTGAACAATCCTGGTTTACAAGGAGATTAAACATTCTACGCTTCACTTGAGAAATAAAGGAATTGGATGTTTGATTTTGACAGACGATGAAAAGAAAAATGTATTTTTTTAAATTAGTAGTTGAGTCGGCTAAGCTTTTCTATTCCTATTTAAAATCCTCATTAAAAGTGATTTGACAGATCTAGGGACAAATTTGTGATATTAAAATAAATGTTATAATACAGTCTATTTTAGAAAATAACATCTAAGCCAATATTTGGGTTTCTAAACTTGTAAAAAGAGCAAAATCATAAAACAAGACATAATTTCTATTTTATTAATGTTAAGATTTCAATTCTTACTTATAACACTAGAACTGTCAGTTCCCCAGGTATGTAGTTTACTGTCAATTGGCATCATTGTTGCTGTTGTCAGGAGGACAATTACTGTAATAAAAATTTTTACTGTGATGGTGAATATTTTTCTTTTGAAATAATATGTCATGAGAAGATACTATTTCAATTTGCTATCCTCAGCCTTAGGGAGAAATGAAATCTCACATTATAGTATGAAAATGCTTTTCAAGCATTGTCTTTGATATAAACATCCTTGTGTTTCAGAGTGGAGTCTTCAATCTATTTTGACACAGTGAATTGACTACAAGTGAGAATTTTGACTTCTAACACATTCATTACACTCTTAGGTGGCATTATAACTTAGGAAGCTCTAGATTTAGCAGACTTGGCTTCAAATTGGATTTTACCTCATACTACCCATGTGCATAAAATCAGTGCCTGCTCTCAATCCCATCACCTCTCCCTTCTTCACATAGGAGACTCAATTCCCAGTGTTCTTGCTGTTGAGCAGGGCCAGGTGAGGATGATCTAGGAAGAGAATGCACGTTACTTCCAGGATAAGACACTTAATTGCTCATCTCCTGTCCATCTCTTTGTCCTTGCTGTCACCATGCTGGAAGAGGTCCAAGGTTAAGATGCATGAGGAGTAGATGGAAAAGAATTGTCAAAGTATGCCCCTCAGATTGGCAGAAGATATTGCATAAGTGAAAATTAAAATTGCTCTTAATCCAGCAGGAAATGTGGGCATATTTGTTACCCAGACCAGTCCACACTATCTGTGTGACTTGAGGCAATCCTTTAACCTCCCTCAATATTAGTTTTCCTTTCCATAAATAAAAAAACTATGAAAAACAGATATGTGAAATGTAAGCAATTTTATTTTATTTTATTTTTCTGTTCATTAAAAGGATTAGATGACCTATGAAAAGACAACTGATGTGGAGTTTATTTATTTGAAGACAACTGATGTGGAGCTTAGTCCCTTAAGATTTACCACTTATCCTACCAAAATAACATCAATGGAATTCCATATTAAATATTTAATAGTAAAGTTTTCAATTTATTAGTTCCTTTTGGTTTTGAAGATAAATATTTGACCTTAATAAGGAACCTCATGTTCTTATATTAATAAACCAAAGACCAAGTGTCTGTTGGAAAACTAAAGTCTCAAAACTTTCTATGCAGATGTAGAAACACTAAAGTAAGTAAGGCCCAGAATTACTAATTTAACATAGATAAAAGTGAAGTGATTTTATTTTATTTTTTCTTTATTTATTTAAAAACAATTCAATAGGTTTTTGGGGAAGAGGTGTTGTTTGGTTACATGAATAAGTTCTTTAGTGGTGATTTCTGAGATTTTGGTGCACCCACCACCCAGCAGTGTACACTGTATACAATGTGCAGTCTTTTATCCCTCACCCCCAACCCTTTCCTCCAAGTTCTCAAAGTCGATTGTATCATTCTTGTGCCTTTGCGTCCTCACAGCTTAGCTCCCACTTATGAATGAGAGAGCATACAATATTTGTTTGGTTTATCCATTCCTGAGTGACTTTTTTTGTTTTTGACCAAGTCTCACTCTGTTGCCCAGGCTGGAGTACAGTGGCTTGATCTTGGCTAGCTGTAACCTCCGCCTGCTGAGTTCAAGCGACTCTCCTGCCTCAGCGTCCCAAGTAGCTGACTACAGGCATGAGCCACCACGCTGGCTAATTTTTGTGTTTTTAGTAGAGACAGAGGTTCACCATGTTTGCCAGGCTGGTCTCGAACTCCTGACCTCAGATGATCTACCTGCCTTGGCCTCTCAAAGTGCTGGGATTACAGGCATGAGCCACTGTGCTCGGCCCCGGAGTTACTTCTAAAAGTGAAGTAATTATGAACTTTAGAAAGGAGGATCATGTCATAGTAAAAATAACAAGCTTTTCATATAAATAATTTCTAAAAGTAAAGGAATACTCAAATATTAAGCAAGTAAGTAAATAGTAGGTATATTTTCAAAAGCCAAAATGCTATTTTTTTAATACTGTCCTTAAAATTGACAAGTACTTAAAATGTATCACCTTATACAAGTAGAACCCTATGTTTTATTTTTATTTTCTTTGGCCTGTTTTTGTTTGAGTCCTGGTTTAAGAAAAGAAACAAACAAAAATTACTTAGTTTTATATCAATTAAAAAATAAATGTGGAGATGCACATGGTATTTATTTTTACTTTTGAGTGCAAAATATTTTAGTTATTGAGCAAAATGCTAAGTTGTGATAAGCATGCTGTCCACAAGTCTACAAACTATATTAGACTGCCTTGAAAATTACACAATACTGAACCAAGTTTAATACATAACTAGATTCCTGCATCTAAATTTAATTAAATACTTATAACAGTTTTGTGTCTGCTTATCAAGCCAGACAGTTAGAAAAATAAAATAATAACTCAACTAGATTTCTTTTTTTTTTTTTTGACGGAATTTCGCTCTTGGTGCCCAGGCTAGAGTGCAGTGGCGCAATCTTGACTCACTGAAACCTCCGCCTTCTGGGTTCAAGTGATTCTTCTGCCTCAGCCTCCCAAGTAGTTGGGATTACAAGTGCCTACCACCATGCCTGGTTAATTTTTTGTATTTTTAGTAGAGATGGGGTTTTGTCATGTTGGGCAGGCTGGTCTGGAACTCTTGACCTCGTGATCCGCCTGCCTCGGCCTCCCAAAGTGCTAGGATTACAGGCGTGAGCCACAGCGCCCGGCCATAGTTTTTTTGTTGTTGTTGTTATGTGAAACGTCTAAAATTTATTAAACACCCAATGTTGGTACTTAAAATGCCCGGGATATAAATACACAAGCCTGCCTACGAATTCTCAATGACCTCCTTTTTGTTTCTTTTTTAAATTTTTCACTGTAGCATTTTTTAAATATTTTCATATAAAGTATAATGTACTTCTTATTATGTGTATTGCTTTAGTTACAAACTCACTTCCATGCTCTGGAACATAACCTTGCAACACCAGAGAATTTTGTCCGTTTTTGAGATTTTTCTCCAGTACTGATGCTGCACCTAGCCCCTGCCAAAAGGTAGGCCCCAATGAATAATGTGTAATGATTGTTCATACAGTTGCTATGTGTCTCACAGGCAAAGTGACTTGTGTCAGGGCTACAAAGAAGCAATTCTGATCTCAGGCTGTTATAGATGTTACAAATGTTGCCTGGTGTTCTGGGATACAAAGAAACATAGGTAAGGAAGATTCAGTTGCTGCTTAAAGAAGGTTTTGCCTAGTGAAGACAGTTAGGAACACCACTTCTCACAGGACTTCTTTCTTAGGAATGAGGTGGGATGTGTTCTCAGAGTAACCACAGAGCACTGGGAATTATAGCAGGATCAGAGTCTAGTCACGCTAAAGTGGCATGTTTTCTAGAAAAAGTTATTTGTATACCTCAGGTTTTTTTTATATGTAAAATGAGGATTCAAAGGTGGGCAAACTATGGTCATTTTTATGGCCTTCTAGCTAAGAATTATTTTTTATTTTTGTAGGTTTGTTTGTTTCATTTTCCGCTATTATTATTATTATTATTTTGTGAGACGGAGTCTCACTCTGTCACCCAGGCTGGAGTGCATTGACACGCTCTCGGCTCACTGCAACCTCCACCACCCAGGTTCAAGTGATTCTCCTGCCTCAGCTTCCCAAGTAGCTGGGACTACAGGTGCTCACCACCATGCCTGGCTAATTTTTGTGTTTTCAGTAGAGACGGGGTTTCGCCATGTTGATCAGACAGGTCTCGAACTCCTAACCTCAGGTGATCTGCCTGTCTTGGCCTCCCAAAGTTCTGGGATTACAGAAATGAGCCACCACGCCCGGCCATTTTCTACTACATTTTTAAAGAACTATTTATAAAGGGGGAGAGAATATAGAATAGATAAGAACATATGTAACTCATATAACCTGCTATAATTACTGCTGTCTGACACTTTACAGAAAAGTTTGTTGATCCTTGTCTAAATTACAAATTATCCGTTTCTAGCCTTAGTGTCCTGTGATTTTGACAAATATTCATACATGTAAACGTGGTCATGACTATTCATGTTGAATTTTATTTAGCTCTGTGTCTACAGAGTCAAAGAATCTGTATATGCACAGCAGCAAGATAGTTTTTTTATTTTTAAATATGAAAGAGAATTTAATATTGTAAATGCTTGAATAAATTCTACAAAATAGTCACGTAGAGGGGGAAATGACCCATACTATAAAAATCTGTCTATAACAAAGTCACTGCTGGAAATCGAGACAAAATTTCCCACCATACAAAATTCATGTTTATGAATATTATTTCCCAGATGGGTCAGTGAAGTTCTTCAAAGACACAAATTCTACTCAGGCATATCACTGACACACTCATACATCTCTCTAATATGGAAGAAAGCCATTAGGCTATCTTGGGCAAATTAAGGTTCACTTTCTCCACATGACGTTTCCTTCCTGGAGCCACACCATGACCTGAAACTGTTACAGGATTACCAGTTCAAAACCTAGATATACAACACTAGAAAGATCTACTAATTTCACAATCTTTGCTTACAAATCATCACCATCACCATCAGCAAACAACATCCACACACGCTGAGCTCAAAAACATCAAAATCCAAACATCATTTGAGCTTTCGTGGTAAAATAATAATTATAATAGTAGAATAATCTATGGTATCTGTCAGTATTTTTCTAAGCGGATTTAGCTCACATTGGACAAACATCCAAAAAAAATTGGTAGTTCAAATTATCTAGAAAAGTATTCCATGCAATTATAGACTATCTGAAGAATATAGAGATATCCTGGCTACTGTTCATCCCTTATCTCCTCTGGACTCCCCACATGGCATCTTCGTGTGTAGAAATATTCATATCCATGAGGAAGAACCCTCTGGCCTATATTTGAATTCCGGAGCTGTCCTCTGTGTCTTTATTGACTTTTTTGCTTTCTACCATGGCGATTTTTGGCTAAGATTGTGCCATTTGCCTTCCCCACGTATGGCATGAGGCTATGTTTGACTTTCATTGCCACCTAAAACTCTGGAGGAATTTGAGAGGAAAACATGTTGCCTCAGGCCCTCTCAGTCTGCCAGAATAGGACATAATAACTGACTTAGTCCATTCAAGCTGTCATAACGAAATACCTTAGACTGGGTAATTTATATACAATAGAATATATTGTTCACAGTTCTGGAGACTGGGAAATTCAAGACAAAGGCACCAGGAGATTTGGTGTCTGCTGAGGGCTCATTCTTCATAGATGCCTCCATTTGACTGCATCCTCATATAGTGGAAGGGCCCAACAAGTCCCCAGAAACCTCTGTTATAAGGGCACGAATCCCATTCATAACAGCTGTGCCCTTATGTGGGGATCACCTCCCAAAAGCCTCACCTCTTACTACAACTTCTTTGGGGATTAAGTCTCAACATATACATTTTGGGGGAAAAAAGCATTCAGACCATACCATCATTATTCCTACTTTATGTAGCAACCTCACTTTGAATATAAGTTTTATAATTTTCATACACCTACTTTGTGTTGTGTAAATATTAACTCCATTACATATGACAATTCATTAGCTGATCCTATGAATATCAGTATTACAAATATCAGCCTTTCCTTCAGATGACTGTTCTCTTTGCCTAATTGGGAGAGCAACCACTTTGAGGTAAGCCTGTGATTCTACGTGAAAGAAATAATAGGCAGAATCCAGTGGTCTTTCATGTGTATAAGAAACAAGAGAAAAAGAGCAAAATGTTATTGTTGTAACTCCTTTCTAGCATTCTACATTTCTAGAAGAAGTGAGTCTCTCCTTGGAAAACTAAGGCCAATTTCAGAATCCTAGGCCATTAAGGATCCTAGGCCTTGGCTCCAAAACAGAAGACCTGTTGCAAGAATAATTTGGATTTAAAAAGAACCTCCACAAGTAATGACAATGCTAAGATTAGCTTGAAACATCCAAGGAAGCCAAAGAGTGAATACACTCTGGCTTCGTATCAGTTAGGCTCAGCTAACTCACATTTTTCCTTTGAGGCAGAGAGCGGAGGCCAAAGACCAGCAAACAACTGGGTTGGAGAGGGGCCTTATGATGCTTAATTTTATGTGTCAACTTGGCTAGGGTATGGCACCTAGATGTTTGGTCAATCACTAGTCTAGGTGTTACTGTGAAGTATTTTTAGATGTGATTAACATTTAAATCAGTGGACTTTGAGTAAAACAGATTAGCCTGCATAATGTGAATGGACCTCATCCAATCAGTTGAAGGATTTAAGAGAAAAAGATTGAGTTACCAGGAAGAAGAAGGAATTCTGCCTCCAGATTGTCTTTGGACTTGAGATTGCAACATCAACTCTATCCTGGGTCTCTAGGTTGCCAGCCTGCCCTTCAGATTTTGGACATTACAGCTCTCATAGTTGCATGAGTCAATTGTTTAAAATTAATATCTATGTTTCTCTCATACACACATACACAAACACACACATATGCACACACACTATTGGTCTTGTTTCCCTAGAGAACCCTAGACTAATGGAGACCTGCAGGAAGATTGGGGTTGTGATACTAGTCTTCATTTAAAGGAAATGTTGCTACTCAAGTACTTTCCTTCTCCCACACCAGCTTTTCACCAAGTGTTGGTAAGAATCACCTGATGCTGGCGGGGCATGGTGACTCATGCCTGTAATCCCAGCACTTTGGAAGGCCAAGGTGGGCACCTCATGAGGTCAGGAGATCGAGACCATCCTGGCTAACACAGTGAAACCTGTTCTCTACTAAAAATGCAAAAAAGTAGCCAGGTGTGGTGGCGGGCGCCTGTAGTCCCAGCTACTCGGGAGGCTGAGGCAGGAGAATGGCATGAACCTGGGAGATGGAGCTTGCAGTGAGCCGAGATCGCGCCACTGCACTCCAGCCTGGGCGACAGAGCGAGACTCCATCTCAAAAAAAAAGAATCACCTGATGCTTATCCTCATCCTCATGCAATGTTTAGTTTGTCTATTCTTATACTGAATACCTTTAGTTGATGGTCTCAGTGTTGGGGAAAAAAGAAGACTCCTGAAGGAAGAAGCAAACACCTGATAACAATGAGGTAAGACTTTCAGCCAGTATCCAGGTTCATTTGGCCAAATTTCTGATTCATCCTGTTGACCCAGTCAGGGCTTGAGTGTTGATGGACCCTACTCACTCAGACTCACAGGGCTCCTACTAGCATTGTTTTGTGAGTTTTAACCATAAGCTGTTTTTCCCCGGTCCCTGGCAGAGACAGTCCACAGCCTCTATGACTGAATGGCTATGGCACTTACAAGAACTGTTCCACCTTCTTTCAACTCTTTAAATTTTACATTCGATGGAAGCATTTAAAAAGTTCAGGGTCCCCTCCATGCCAAGAATAGGCAGAAGGAAATGTAGTTATAGAGACTGGTCTCTAGTCTACCCTCTCCAGCTAAAAATGATTTCAAGCTGCTTCATATTGGCCCAAGATACCCTGGGAGGTGGTAACCTCCAAAGATCACTAATGGATAGAGACATTGGACTAATGGATAGGGGAATTTGGAATTCCTCTCAACCAATTTTTTTAATGCCTTGTAGACACTAAATCATGGTGCAGCAGGTATGCAATTCTCTCTTTAGTGAGTGGACATCCCCAGGAAATAAGGATGACTCATGTTAAGTCTTCTAGGCATGTCGTATACTTCTTTTAAAAAGCTATTTTGACTCACTTTTGAGGATCTACCTAGAGGCTAGTTTATCTTCTTGACCAGTTGCTTAAGTCCACCTCACAACCTCTTTTTTCACTGGGCTCTCACATGCGAGGGCCACGATGTTCCTCCCCTAATCACCCCAGAGCCAGGTGACAGGCAACTAGGGACAGCCTCTATACCCCAGAGCCCAAGACATTATTCAAATTAGCCAATTCACTGGGAGCCTGAGCAACTTAGCTCACTCCACTCCACTTGCCATACGTGAGTTGTCCCCAGCAGCTCCAGATTCTGTTATAAGTCTCTGGCGCAAACCCTTTGGTGGCCCTGCCTCGAAGCCTTCTCTATTTCAGAGTCCAAAATAACACACAGTTCTGCTTTTATTCTATTCTAGTGTCAGTGTGTTGTGTCTCACTATCAAAAGGATATTTAAATCCTATAAAACAGCATGCTAATGAAATAGACACAAGGAAACTAGTGTTTTTGAGAGTATTTATATATTGCTTTTAGCAGAATGTATCAAGTCTGTCCAGATTAGTCTGGGATAAGAAATCCTGGTGCCTGACTCCTTAGAAAATGTGATGTGTAGTATGTAAACATTATACAATAGAAATGTTTCATAACTGAGATGACCTCTACTTTATAAGTGGTGTAGACTCACTCATAACATAAAGATTTCATATGTTAATCTAGGCTATGGATATTGTAAGAAAGGGCCTGAGTAACTACATTGATTTCTTCTTGCTTCACTGGTGTCTTAAAATCATTAATAAAATTGCATGCTAAGTCACGTCTTTTATTCTTGTGATTCTCATAAGCAGTCTGATATTTTGTACTTTCTCCCCTGAGACAAAATCAAATCAAATCAAAACAGAAATTACAACATATTAAGTAAACAGTCCTAAGGAAAAAAAAGTCACAATGTTGTGTATAAAAGATTTTCACTATTGTATAAAAGAGTAAGTTCCTATCCAACTAATTGCCTTACAAATAATAAGACCTCTGGTAAGTCTGTAAGAAACAACTGCCCGAGAGCTGCAGAAAGTGAAGAAATGCAGGCAGATTTTAAAGGTGTTGAAATTTTCAGTAAATGACCAGCACTTTCTTGTTTTCTGTTTTTGTTTTGTTTTGCAGATACACCCTGAAAGAAACTGCAGTTGTGGAGGTGAGGTTATGTTTCTAAGTCCTTCATAGAAAGCCTCCATTTGTTTTGGTTGAAGAAATCAAGGGAATAATTCCAAGAGCCACAGAAAAGTGAGATAGTAAACTAGACAGGAGAAATACAGAGGAAATAAACTCAAAGTTTGTCTAAAACTATGCCCAAGTCAGGCTGATGCACAAATAACACTTGAGCAAGACAGACTAAAAGCTGATATAAACTTTAGCCCAACATAGATATGTCATAGTTTGAAATATAAGCAAATTAATTTCCTATAATAAAAATATCAATATTAGCTGGAGATACATAACGGAATTTAGTGTTTCAAACATAATATTAAGTATGTTCAAGATACAATCTAAAATTTCTTTACATGAAAAGACTAAGGCAATGTAATCCATTGTCAACGGAACATACACTTTCCAAACGACTACTGTAAGATGATTCAGACTATAGAAGTATGAAACAAAGATTTTAAAGCAGCTATTATAACTGTTGCAAAATTAGCTAGAAAAACACATATTTATGATGAAAAGAATAAGAAATCTCCATAACAGAAACAGAAAATTAAAAAAGAACTAAAGAGTTCTAAAATTGTTAAAGGAAACACCATTTTAATAAAAAGTAAATCACTGGAAGGATGTAAAATGAAATAAATAAACACTATCTTAAAAAATTACTGGATGGCTGTAAAAGCAAAACAAAAGCAGAAGACAATAAGTCAATAAATTGGAAGAAAGATTAAGCAATCTGAAGAAGAAAGAAACAAACTTGGGAAGAAACCTAGAACTTCAGGAACATATGAAACAATATTGTATGATGAGTCCAACATACAGACAATTAGAGTCTCAGAAAGAAAGAAATGAGAAAGAGGAGATTAACATAAAAATAGAATAGCTGAAGACCTCTCAAATTAATTGAAATATATACATTTATGGGATTAAGAAACTAAGCTACACATAGAGTAAATACAAAGAAAAAATCCTAGGCACATTACATAGTCAAAAGGCTGGGGAAAAAACAAACAAACAAACAAACAAATACAGAGATAAAGAGAAATTATTGGGTGCAGCCAAAGAAAATATACAGATGAGCAATAATTTAAATGTCCATAGATTTCTCATCAGAATACGCAGAGAAAAGAAGACACTAGAACTAGAATTGTAAATAGATTAAAGAAAAAATGAACTGAGAATTCTATATAAAGCAAAAATATCATTCAAGCATGAAGGGCAAATGAAGAGTTTTTAGATGAATGAAAAGCTAGCATAGAATTAAAACTGTCATAAGAATGAACATGTAGACAATTGAAACAGAATTGATAATCCAGAAATAAAACTTTTTATTTATGGTAAATTGATTTACAACAAAGGTGCCAAGGCAATGGCAATTTTTGAGAAATTGTGCAGGCTCAACTGAATAACTATATGGGAAAAAAAAGTTGTCTGTTACCTAACACTATACACAAAAATTAATTTAAATTGGTAACAGACCTGATGCAAGTACTAAAATTATAGCATTTCTAGAACTTTTCATAGATGGCATGCAAAAAATCATGCATCATAAAAGAAAAAAACTAAGTTTTATAAAAATTTAAACTTTTGTTGTTCAAGAGATGCAATTAATAAAATTAAAATACAATACAAAATAGGAGAAATAGTTGCACTATATGTACTTTCCAAGGGATTTTTGTTTTTAAATATATACAGAACTCTCAAAACTCAATAATAAGATCAAAGTCAACCCACATAAAGAAAGCTTAAAGGATTTGAAAATATACTTCACCATAAAAGAGATACAAATGGCAAATAATCATATGAAAATATATTTTGTGTTGTAATTAGAAAAATGTAAGTTAAAACCATAAATGAGACCACACTATATATCTGTAAAAATAAAAGAAATTATAAATCTAGAATATCAAATTTGATGAGGACATTTTACCAAATAGTGTTTCTCACAAACTTCTGGCAGGAATGTTAAAGGATACAAACGCTTAGGAAAACAGTTGGCAGTAAACATACAGCTACCAAATACCCAGCCATTCCCCTTTTAGGCATTCACTTAAGACAAATAAAAGAACATATCCATAAAAAGACATGTGCAAGAATGTTCATGACAGCATTATTTGTAAGAGACAAAATTGAAAACCAACCTAATATCCATCAACAGGTGAATGGATAAACATATAATGTAATATAACTCAGCATTAAAAACATATTGATGCATGCAACAATATAGATGAAGCCTACACATCATTAGGCCAAAGTGAAAGGAAGCAAAAGAATACAGATTTGATTATTTTATTTATATAAAAGTTTAGTAAAAGTAAATTAAACTATAATGACAGGAGACAGATTATTGGTTGTCTGGGGTTTGGGACAAAGAGACAGATACACTGCAAGAAGATATGAGATGTTTTGGTGGTGAAAAAATAGTCTTCAAATTGTCTGTGTTGTTAGTTGTACAGCTCATACTCTGAAATCATACATTCAATGGCCTATTTTAAATGCCTAGCGCTCATTGTATACAAAGTTTTTGTTAATAGAGTTGACTAAAAAAAATTGGAGCTATAGCTAAATCTGAAAATTCAAGGTTTCAATCCTCAAGTACTCATGTAACTTAAAAAACAAATAATGTAAATAAATAAATGATGTGCCAATCTCAAGAACTGGGGGGGCAGGGCAAAATAAGCCTATGGGAAGCAAAGGGAAGTAATTGATAAGCATAAATGCATATTAACGATTAGAATATACAAATATAGCATTAATAAGTAAATTTAATAGCTAGCACTATGAAATAATCCAATTAAATAGATAAACCAATAGCTAATCTAATCAAACAAGAGAATACTTACATAGCCATACTGAGGAAACTAATTATAGGACAATATTTTACTCGACTCTGTTCAAATAAATTTGAAAATTGACTTCAAATTCTCAGAAAATATAAATTACCAGGAGAGCATACAATGTAAACAAACCAATTACCATGGTAGGATTTGAGAAAGCTGTCAAACTGTTCCTCTCCAAAATAAAACAAGACTCAAATTTTACACAAGTGATTCTATCAAACCTTCAAGATATAAATATTTTTTAGTGTTATTTAAATGTTTCCAAACAGAAAAAGAAAGAAAAGCTCCCTCTCTTGTTTCCACCAACTTCTCTTTTTAAGAAGTTAACAAACATGTCTTTACTTTTTTGTATATGTTCTTGGCTTCTTCAAATGCTTACTGATTGCAGTAATGGGCTAAGTGGGTGATGGGTGGCTGCCATGGGCCAAGGGAACTATGGACAGCGGCCATGGAGTTCCTCTGTACATATGTATGCCTGTTGACTTCATGTGATTTCCCTTATCTCTGTCGGATGACTGACTGTAACCTCTGTGAAAATTGAGGAGATGAGTGAACAGGAATGCTTTCCTTTAGGAAACAGAGTGGTGGCAGACAAATCATGCTTGAACACCTCAAAACTGTTAAACCAAGAAAAGAGTTTCTCTGGAACTAAAGCAAAAGGGTATTTACTACTGAGTTGAGCTGCTATCCTATTTTTCTCTTCTACTCTTCTGGGGAGAAATAATCCCGTATAATTAGATGCTAATTCTTATAATCCCCTTTTTTCCATTGAAATAATTAAATCAATTCATTTTCTTATCATTTGTGTCTAAATTCAGTTCATTCATTATTTGAATTTTAATATAAAGTGACCTATTATGAATTAGTTGACTTTTATTGACCATAAAGTATTTTAATGGTTGCTGTCTATGATTTTTAGGGTTTTTCCTACTTAAAACATATTTATTTTTGTGTCTCAACCCACCCTACCTGAAAGCAATTATAACGTGATCAATGCTGAAGAAAAGGAAATGAAAGATGAAGCTGAACTTCAGTGAGCAATAAATAGTAGAACATTTTTCCAGATTTTTTATTGGAACAAAATATACATAAATTAAATTTTACTACCTTAATAATTATTGTGTACAATTCTGTAGTATTAAGTGCATTAGTATTGTTGTACAACCATTACCATTCTCTATCTCTTGAACTTGACTAGATGCTTTGAAAAATGAATAAATATAAAACTGCATGGTGCTACTTAAAATTTTTTGTGAGATGTTGGTTGCAGGGAGAGAAGAGAAATATTTTAAATGTTTCAGAATAGTCACTCACAATTTGAATTGTAATAGTTTTTACAACCATTCATAGCTAGTTCTACCATTATAATAATCAAAACAGCTCAAATTAGATGTTTCTTTCTTGGAGAAAATTATTTCACCACTGTCAAAGTACTGATTATATAGATATGGTTAGAAGTAACACAACACCTTACAATTTAGGTTTTATACATAAGACTTAATTATAGAAAAAATGTAACTCAGAAATTTCAAACAAATGTATAAAATGACTCATTTTGCAGATGGTTACTACTTCAAAGAAAATTGCTGCCAAGAAGCACATAAAATTTTAAAATAAAAATCAGTATATGTCATTTCAAAGTTTTCTGAATCATTGGTTGTTATTGATGAAATAAGAATTACAAATTGCCAGTTTTCAATAGACTTAAATTGGTGTTTGTGTATATATGTACATTTAGTGTATGATAACTTGATAACTTTTTGTGTCTGATGTCATACTCCAGAGTTTAAAAATAAATTCTCTTGAATCTTTTGTGTTTGGCTTTCTTCTAAGTGTAAGTTTTGTATTTTAATCATAGAATGCACCATATATATCTCAATTTCACTTTGTATTTATATTTTACTTATTTAAAAGTAAGACATATCTATGTATTTAAATATTGTTTTATTAATTTTTAACAGGTAGTTTTTTTCTCATTTTACAGTAGTCTTACAGAAATAATAAATATTTTAAATGCATAGTGTAATTGCCATCTAGAAAACGTGAGAAAAGGGAGAAGTCAGAGTCAGTGCTTTTGACCAACTAACAATAAATCAGAGCAACAAAAAGCATTTTCTGGCTGGGTGCAGTGGCTCATGCCTGTAATCCAGCACTTTGGGAGGCCAAGATGGGTGGATCACCTGAGGTCAGGAGTTGGAGACCAGCCTGGCCAACATGGCAAAACCCCGTCTCTACTAAAAATACAAAAATTAGCCAGGCATAGTGGCGTGCACCTGTAAACCCAGCTACCCAAGAGGGTGAGACAGGAGAATTGCTGGAACCCGGGAGGGAGAGGCTGCAGTCAGCCAAGATCGCACCATTGCACTCCAGCCTGGGCGACAGAGCAAGACTCTGTCTCAAAAATAAAATAAAATAAAATAAAATAAAATAAAATAAAATAAAATAAAATAAAATAAAATAAAATAAAATAAAATAAAATAATAAAATAAAATAAAATAAAAAGCATTTTCCTCAAATAGTTTGCTCCTTTTGCTTTACAAATTTTGCCTCTATCTCCTCTCAGAAACTGAGTTAAGGCTTAGTCCAGTGATTGTACTTTTAAAAGTAATACTCTCTAATTTGAAGCATCTCAGCATGTATGCATGTTCACCATCTCTCATGGCCTCCTACGTCAATGAGATTTGGCCAAGAAAACAGAAACCGCACTAGATATTTTAGATGGGAAGGGATTGAATATAGGTGGCTTATTCGACCATTGGAAGGCCTGAAATAGAGAAGGTTATAGAGACTTCTGCTGGCCCTGAGGGAACACAGGAGTACAAGGGGTGCAGGACCACTGTCCTGGAAGAATTCAGCTGCCTGAACAGACTGAAATGGAAAATTTTGCTGAGGACAGCAAGAAACCGTTACTGAAGCCCCAAAACTGCTCTGATAATATCCACTGGTCTGTTCACAGCTTCTGCTGGTGAATAATTACTTTTGTTTCTCTTTCAATTTCTAAATTGTACATGATTGTCTCTGGCTACAAGAATCTAAACTGGAACCCTGTGGGTTAGGGGTCCTGGAAAACACAGATTCCGGCTTCTCCTTTAAAATACAGCAATGAATGTAGAAAATACAGAGTTGGTAAAGGTCATTCATCAGCATTCTGACTGAAAAACTAAAAGAGGAATGTTTATGGAAGTTAAGATATAAAAACTCATTTCTGAGCTTTTTAGAGCAATAAAATGCAACCCCATTTTCCCCAACTCATACGAAGTGTGTTTAATTTACATTTGGGTACTGTCTAACATAATACCAGAAAGTCAAACCTATTTCCAATGCAGTTAGTTGTTTCATGAGTTCAGAGGATGGCCCTTCATATATTGCAGTACATATCATAAGTCTTGGGGATACAGTTACTTCAAGAGGCTCACACATCTGTGAAAGAGATGGGGAAGTGAAACAAATGTTATAAAATTGCCTTACAAATGATATGGTAAAGGTGTGTAGACGGCTGCAGAAAATCATGCAAGTAGCTAGAAGCAATTTATTATCAAATGAGTATGATTTCAAATTTAACTAAAACAATGAGGCTAATTTTGCCAAATAAAACTCAGTTTTATTACATTCAACTAAATAATGAGCTGTCTGATGTGTAACTGAAGGATTTGCAAGCACATGCTCAATTTATATTCAGTAGCAGACGTTTTAGGATTACAAAATTAGAAAAATTTTAAAAGATTACTTTGATTATCCCTTTCTCAGAAGCTTAAGACCTTAAATCCTCTCACTGGTCCCAACTAGTAAGGTAGATTAAATCTTTCTTACTCACACACAGATTTATAATTATTAGTGTTCCACACAAAGTAGCCATAGTCACTTAGAATCAGGATCAACTAACATTTTAGAGCAACTATAATGCTCTTGATTGCCTGGGACTTTATTTTGCAAATTCATTTAATTCATTTGACATCAAAGAGTATACAGAACATGATATTGATATTTGTGTGTGTGTGTCAATGTATGTGCGTGTATGTTTGTGCTTGTATTACCAACAATCTACCATGTGCCTCTCTACTTCTATTATAACTCCTAAGTCTAAAATAATTATGCCTCTTTCTTTCTTTACAATAATCTATTGAGGTTATAGCTATTTCCATTTTACACTTCAAACATAAGGTTTGTGATCCATATTGGACCTTCCAGTTAGCTTATTTCACTGGTAGAAGTATAATTTCCTATATCATAATTCTTAAAATTGTAATTCTTAAAAATCATAATCATGATTCTTACCACATTTGTACTTGTTCAATCTACATCAGAACCTCCAGGCATTTTAGAAGTTAATATCCCCATTATACCTCATCATCTACTCTTCAAACTATCTTAAGCAGTCATAAGTAGGGCTATCACCTTAGACTAAGTTGCCTGGAAATAGACTCTGAGATGGGGTGCCATGTGCAGAATTGTATTAGGAGGAGCCCTGAGTATCACTGTGAGGAAGGAGGGAAGGCATAAAGTGAGCATGGCAGAGCAAGACGCTCAGCTGTGAAGCACTGTAGTCAATCTGGTCCTGAGATGACCTTTCCAGGATATCCCAAATTGAGGCAAGAGGGCTGGCTCTTTGCATCCAAGGTTGGCCCTTGGCTGGTATCTGGGAAGCTGGATTTGAGGATAGCTATGCCTTCCCTAACGGATAAGTGTGATTCACTACGCCTGAACTATTGCTGCAAACAATATGATTTAGTATGATTATTTGCTTTTCTTCTGGGAGTCTGAAATTTTGGTGCATGCCAAGAAGAGGGTGCCTATGTGATTAGTCCCCAATAAAAACCCTGGGCCCTTATTTCCTAATGCGCTTCCCTGTTAGACAACATATTACACATGTCACAATTCTTTGTTGGGGAAAATAAGCAGTTCTGGAGTGACTCCACTGAGAGCTCATGGCCTGATTTCCTCTGGACTTTCCCCCATAAGGCTTTTCCCTTTGCTGATTTTGCTTTATATCCTTTTACTATAATAAATTATAGCCATGAATACAATTATATGCTAAGTTTTGTGAGTCTTATTAGCAAGTCATCAATACAGGAACTCATCCTGAGGACCACACCCCAGGAGAGAGCTTCAACTTGCAGAAGGCAGTTCCCTATAGCAGAGGACAAATCTTAGTGATGACGCAGCTTTGAACACTAGCAGCCTGTATCTCCAAATGTGTGAAGCATGAGTGTGTCCGACTCAAAGAAGGAATCCAGATAAAAAATCATTGTATTGGCCCAGCACGGTGGCTCATGCCTGTAATCCCAGCACTTTGGGAGACCAAGGCAGGTGGATCACCTGAGGTCAGGAGTTCAAAACCAGCCTGACCAACACGGTGAAACCCCACCTCTACATATATATATATATATATGTAAAATTAGCCGGAAGTAGTGTCAGGTACCTGTAATCCCAGCTACTTGGGAGGCTGAGTGAGGAGAATTGCTTAAGCCCAGGAGGTGGAGGTTGCAGTGAGCAGAGATTGCACCATTGCACTCCAGCCTGGGTGACAAGAGCAAAACTCCGTCTAAAGGAAAAAGAAAATCATGTATCCAGTATGTAAATACCTGTTTCACTCAGGTCCATGTGTCTCTTCTATAAGTGTGCTGTCTCTGTAAAGAGCTTTTCCAGAATTCTAGTTAGTCTTGTTTTCTGGAGCACTAAAAAAAGACAAGTTAGTGGGATGGAAGCACAGCCTCTACGGCTACAGTTGAACTCAGGTGCATAACAGAGGTTCATTAACCCTTCTTTGCTCTCTTTCTAAGGGACCTTCAAACTCTGAGGGCACCTTTACTTGTTTAAGCAGTTTTCTTGGTGAAGATCTCCCAGAATTCCATCCCCGATGTTTCCAAATCACCACATACTATGCCTTTCTCAAACTGTGTTTCCTAAACTATCAATTTTTCTTTAAAACCAGGCATAATATCTTCAAGGGATTCATTGGTGGATCACCTGAGCCCCAAACCTATTCTTCTTTGATCATGTTATATAATAGCAGTTTTACCTCTTTCTTATGATCGGAAAAAAACTACCCTTATAAGTAAGGCAGATTTTTATTTGTCTTCTGGTCTTTCGGCATAAGGAGCCTAAAATGATAGGCCACTAGCTGTAACTTAAAATTCTGTAGAACTCTTGCTGTCTGTCCTGGTTGAAGCATTCATCTTTTAATGCTTCAACTGAGCCCTCTCAGCTTAAAAAGTCCAAAATGGGCCGGGCGCGGTGGCTCACGCCTGCAGTCTCAGCACTTTGGAAGGCCGAGACGGGCAGATCGCGAGGTCAGGAGATCGAGACCATCCTGGCTAACATGCTGAAACCCCGGCTCTACTAAAAATACAAACAAATTAGCCAGGCGGAGTGGCGGGCGCCTGTAATCCCTACTACTCGGGAGGCTGAGGTAGAAGAATGGCGTGAACCCAGGGGGCAGAGCTTGCAGTGAGCCGACATTGTGCCACTGCACTCCAGCCTGGGTGACAGAGCGAGACCCCGTCTCAAAAAAAAAAAAAATTCCAAAATGAAATGGAGAAAAGTATAAATAACCCAAATGAACCAATGGACTCACTCTTACTTCCATTCCTTGGTTTCCAAATGTATATATTGTGTTGCTTGCAAGCACTGAGCCATACACATACAATGGTCAATAATTTAGGGTTTAAATTATATTCTGGAATACTGAACTTTATAATATCAAAATATTCTTTTCTGTCTCATACTTCAACTACATCTTTAAAAAGTTGTCTCTCTATTACATCAGGGTGGCACCTTCTGGGTGAACCAATATGATAAAACAATCAGATCCCAATACATGGCCAGTTGCCACTGCTAATTTAACATAAAGCTGATCTCTTGGCTGGGCACGGTGGCTCACGTCTGTAAATCCCAGCACTTTGGGAGGCCGAGGTGGGCGGATCACGAGGTCGAGAGTTCAAGACCTGCCTGGCCAACATAGTGAAACCCCGTCTCTACTAAAAATACAAAAGATTAGCTGGGCATGGTGGCAGGTGCCTGTAATCCCAGCTACTCAGGAGGCTGAGGCAGGAGAATGGCTTGAACCCGGGTGATGGAGGTTTCAGTGAGCCAAAATTGCGCCATTGCACTCCAGCACAAGTGACAATGTGAGATTCCAACTCAGAAAAAACAACCAACCAACGAAAAAGAAAAAAATCGATCTCTTGTTCTGATTCAATGTTGTATGAGATCTTGTGTCAATAGATTGTGATTATGTTGACAATGGCCCTGTAGGCAACAAAGAAAATCTTATTCTAGGAATACATGTCAGTCTTATCCAAGGTGATTTGCTGTTCGTCCAGAGTAGGAGTCAAATGTAGTTAACTTGCCACTAAACAACTGATTGCTTTCTTCGACGTATGGCTTCATACTGAGGGGTCAGGTTTAGTCTCTGTTACTGGATAAGTAAGAGTATCTAGATCAGACAAGTGGCAACCTATACGTTGTGCCCATGTCTTCCACAGAACTTCTCTATTCTTGTGCCCATAGTCTCATCACTGGGTCACAAATGACAACAGTGACTGAGATCAATGGGCTAAATAGTTCTATTTGATTAATTGCAGATATTTCCTAGTGGTACCAAACATGACACAAAGAGCTTTGCATTGCATGGTCACTCCCATAGGTCCATATACATACCTCTTAGCCAGAAATTGTCACTGATCTTCCAATTTTTCTTCTTTCATGCCTGTGTTCAGTAATATAAGCCATCTGCCACTGTCCATGAGCCCAGATATATTCTTGCTGTATGCCACATTTCATTCTGCACAAAGTGGATGTCCAAGTGCATCATCTGAAGCTCTCCATTAGGGGAACTTTTCCGGCCTGGTCTCTTGAAGGCCTCACCTTACTTGGACTATAGCGTGACTCCAGTCTGCTTTTGGCTCATATTGTATCTTTTGACTCTCCTCATCCCTGGTCCTGGATATACCACTTCTGTGTTACCATGGATTGCTTTTAGATTGTTCTGTTTTATAATTTGATAGATCATAGAGAACTCAGTGTTGGCTGAATGGTCACTTGGTTTACAGTGATTAGAAACACCATCTCTGTAACATGCCATGGGTGACTTTTCTAATGTGTATCGTTTTCTGCGTTAGTTTGCATGACTTTGCTCTAATACCCTAAACTTTTACATTGTGGTTCTCTTATTGGGGATTTATATTAACTCAGTATTAAATCCAAAGATATCTTTGGTACCATACATTTGCTGGACCAGATAGTCCAAAGCACAGAGCAATGGAGCTTGGGCAAATTGCCAACCTTATTCTTCTTTGGACCATATGCAAAGATGTAGCCTTCTATATGTCACCCCGAAAGTCCCAAGTGTGAAATATGGTGTTCCTTAAACCTGAAAAGGCCTTTGCACTTCCTATCTAGTGTGGGAGGGCATGCCCATTTATATATCAGTCCACTTGATGCTGAAAAATTTTACTGATATGCCAGGTCCCTGAATCTTCATAATATTTACCTCTCATATATCTTACTTTATATTCTCCACCCCCGATACAACATCCTGTGCAAATAATTCATCAAACCTCTTTTGGCTCCTGCTAGTACGGATTGACCAGGTACTTCAGGTTCTTTGCATATGATCTTTTCTTTCTTTCTACAGGTTCAACATGTCCTCTGTCAAGATACAGTGATCTGATTGCCAGAAGAGGAAACTGGTATAGATCCTGAGGGCAAGCAATGTTTTTATTGTAAGTCATTTGCCTCTCTTGGGGTTTCTGCTGGGTTTTCAGGAAGAGAGGTGTATCATTTGATACATTTGATAAGGGCAAGAGGGGAATATTTGGAGTTCAAATAATATAGAACAGTGGTTCTCAACCAAGAGTGATTTTCTGCTTTCTGAGGGTGAGCACACTTGGTTATGGCTGGAGACATTTTTAATTTTCACAGCTTGGGGGAGAGGGGTTTGGAGACCTGAGATGTTGCTAACAATCTTACAGTGCACAGGTTTTAGCCTCCACAACTAAGAACTATTCAGTCCCAAATGTCAATAGTGCCAAGGTTGAAAAGCCTCAATTTAGAAGAAATGAGAACTTATTTCCCACATTTACCCAGATATTTTAAGTATCAGGGGCCTACGTTTTTCCCTAATAGAGCCCTGAGATTGGAATAGGAATCCTACTGGGATAAGGCTTCATTCTTCTTTAAATCTTTGCTTCTCTTATGATTAAGTCAGAAACCTGTTTTGCTACCCCATCTATCCTGGAGGGAGAAATATATGGGAGATTTATGTGGAAATTCTCCTGTGTGATGCACTGTAAGGTGGAATTGAGCAGAGGAAGGAGCTCATGCTGCAGTGTGGTTGCATCTAAGGACTCAGCCAGTACAAGGAGGTATCCCTTAAGAGACAGAGATAGTCCAAATTGAGTCAAGGGGTGGTCTTTTGTTTTCCCACATGAACCTGTCAGTAGCTATGGGCCACTCCCCTGAAAGAAAACTTCACTTTGAAGAAAACCAATTACCTGTGAGGGCCACAGCTGTAAGCCATTAGCAACAGCTCTTTGAAGGAGGTAAATGGTAAATGTACCAACCCCAATGAGGGAACCTGTACAGAGCAATACAAATATCCACTACAGCCATCAAAGTCATCGACACATGGACCAGTGTCCTGGCATCAATGACAGAACTATCCCAAAATGTAGACAAATAATTGAGAAGGAAGAGAAGTAAAAAATTAATTAATTAATTAATATTTCTATTTAGAATCCTAAAGCATTAAATAGAGGTAAAAATAAACACTAGATATGGGTGTTGGTAACTATATGTTGGGTAGAGGAGAAGGCAGAGAATGTGGATTCGTGAATGTTTATTGAGACTTTTCCATGTGTTCAGAAGTAAGAAAGGCAAGTGAAAAGTAAATAATTGACAAGTATAGTAGTCTATATTTGAATTATACTGATAAGAAAATTATAAGTATCAAAATTATATTCATGATACTTCCCTTTTTTGAAGAGAAAAATGTTTTTAGAAAGCAAAATTTCAGTGTACACCAGGTGGTATCAGGAATAATACATATCTGTTGTTTTGAAAATTATACTCTTCACCCACTGTGTTGACCTTTTTTTAAAGATTCTGCCATATGTTTTTCTCAAGCAGGTTGGTGACTAAGCAGGGAAACACTCTCCAAAAAAAATTTAAAATTTTAATTTGAAGTGATGAATTATAATTTTGGTTGCTTAGCCATGTTTTAAGGCACAGTATGCCATTTTTTCATTTTCATATAATCTCTTTAGCAGAAAATGTGTATGTGCCTCAGAAAGTGGTGTTTTAGTGTCAATATCTATTATTTGTAATTCATAATATATCTCTTTTAGCCATGTTGATATAAAAACAATAGATTTTATAATTGTGTTTGTTTCAATCTTTGTCAGCACCTCCAAAAATAAATTATAAAAGTATTTATGAAAAAAAACAGTTGTATAGATGCTATTCATAATTTTTTTCTTTCCATTATGTTTGAGGGAATATTACCATTGTCTTAGAGCCAACGTTTTTATTGTCTCTGCTATTTTTCTGTCCTGAAACTTGATCTTTAGCACATATAATACTCATTAACATCTACTATTTCCCTCATAAAATATAGCAAACTCTATTCAATTATAAAGGTAGATGTTTTCACAAATATTGAGTATGTCTTAAAATTTGCTGAAGATTTGGAAATATGACTTACGAAAATCATAAAACCAATTGCATATGTTTAATAGTTTATAATTTAATAAACTTAGATCAGTGATTCTCAAACCAGGGCAACCGCTTTCCCCTCCAACACATACACATGCTAAGGGACATTTGACAACATCTAGAGACACTTTAAATTGTCACAATTCAGGTGCATACTTCAGGAATAGATGCCAGGGATGCTACTAAGCATCTTACAATGCACAGGACAACCCTTCCTCCTTTACAGTAGTTGCTGTAATAAGTAATAATCAGAATTCTCAAATTTGGCTCCAAACTGTAATAGTACAGAAGTTGAGAAATCCTGTTGTAGACATTCCGATATTTAAAATACTAAAAGCATTTTAAAATACCAACTTTAATAGAATTAATAAGTGAAACTTGATAATAGTCTTGCCATTGATAAGACAATTTTTGAGATTTTTGTTCTTGCTTTAAAGTTTTCAACCTATTGCTTTCACAGTATTTTGAGTTAATTCTGTTAATAATATTAAGAAACATTATTTCTGCACCAAATTCCAACTTGACTTATGGATAATATACAGAATGGTTAAACATATATACAATTATTTTGTGAAGCTCAAATTTCTCATTAATTAAAAAATACTATAATAAATATTGCATTGTATTATTTAACTTTTTTCTATTCCTACCATTTGAGAATTCAAATTTTCTTTTGTAGTATATTGTTTTAATTATTGAAATAGTATTGAAATACATTTTTGATGTTCAGCTTGTTTGATAAATGCTACTTTCAGACTAAATTATATATGGTCAAGTAAAATGGTTATTAAAATTAAAACCAAATGAAATAATAAATCAGCCCATTAAAGTAGCAGATATAATGGAGTGTGCAGCAGTCTACTATTACTTATGGCTCATAAGTAAGAAAGAATGCTTTTGAGGTTGCATAACACATGAAAACAGAAATTTTGACTTAATTTGAAAGTGACAAAGAAAGTTTTCATTGACTTGTGAAAATTGCTTTCTTTTTAAGCTCCAGTATGATTATAGTTCAATTTTCCAACCATTTTTTATATTTTAATCATTTCATTTCTTAAATTATCCCTGAATTGATTCCCTTTTTGTTCTTTTTGTTAGAGCAAAAGTCATATTTACAAATCATATTAACATATCTACATTTATCTGGTACTATATCAGATTAAATTCCTCTTAAACATAATTGTGATAAACTTTTTATAAGCAGATAAAAATTTTCTTGCTTTATGACAGAGAAATATATGAGGAACAATTATGCTCTCAATTATTTTTTATAAAGCAGAAAATTTAACACCACTAAACCAAAAACTAGAAAAGCATACATTTTGTTTTTCCTAGATGTAGCTGAATGTTGATAAATATCTAGGACATTCTGTTCATATAAAAACCTTTAACACAGTCTGATTAATACCCATATTTTAATTTGAGCATCTCTGGCAAAAATAATAAAATTATTTTTAAAAATCTCACAAAAGTGTCCTGTCCTTTGATTCTGTAAAGGTACCCATACTGCCTAAATTGCTATTTTAACTGACGTTATGCAAAGATATATCAGCAGAATTTTAACATCGGTATGGATCAACAATCTGTGATCTCGAATGGAATTATAGGTTTACACAGATAGTAGTTGCTATAATGAATGATAATCAGAATTCTTAAATTTGGATCTAGGAAAAGACTAAAAAAATCAATAATTGCGTTGCACCATCATTTTTTAAGCCACCAAGTTGAGTATTTTATTATTTGCACCCAAAAGGACCCTAACTATTAGACAAAATATTGGATCTTAGAAATGTGACAAAATCATATTCAACTGCATGTGGGGTATGCTGAAGAGAAAAACAGCTTAGTGAATGTTTAGTTAAAGCATATGTCAGTGTATATTAAAGGAAGAATAATGTTGGCCTGCAGGAGAATTCATAGCTTGTTGTATGCCTCTATCCTTTCTATAATTTTTTCTCTTTACCTACTGTTTGTATGAAACAGAATCAATGAATAGAACAATATATTGTAATTCAGACTGAGTAAGAGATAAGTGTAGGAAGACCTGTGTGAAGAGAAATAGAATTCAAATCTATTTGGCCATTAGGGCACTTGTCTTTCTATGAGGTTAGAAAGGTAAGGAATGTCAAGCTTCTTATATTTCCTCATAATGAGAAGGCTTGGAAAGGACCATGAAAACCTACTCTTTCCTATTGTTGTAAGAAAATTATTGCTCTTGCTTGTTGGGAAATGTTTATGGGACTAGGCTAGAAAAGAGAGATAAGTTAAGTGATAGTGCTTTTGTTGCAACTCTAGGATTACTTCTAGCCTAGGGAAAGGGATGTCTTGACTTAGCTGAGTAGTGTATGGGTTTGGAGGCAAGGCTCCATTCCTTTGCCTAAACTTAAGCCACCGTTAGTTGTGTACTTTATTATCTGTTTGGCCTGTATTTCCTACAGGAACTTTGAGGTAATTAGTTAAGGACCCAATTCAAAAAGACTTAGCCTCATTTTACAACGTCCACTTATTTTATAATTTCTTTTTTTTTCCCACTGTTGCCAAACAAATAAAGAATAAATAATTATTGCCTCTTTATCAAGTACATGTATTTGAAAGAATGGCAAATATACAGATTTGATAGAGTATCTAATGAAAAAATAATTTAAAAATGAATTACTCTATCAAGGGACAAGTACATCCCAACAACTGTTTTTAAAAGACACGTAAATGTCTGCTGCAGAGAACGTGGCCTTGCTTATGAATTTCTCTTGTGATCCTACCAACAGGGCTTGCCATTAACTCTACCACATATCTTTTTCTACCACTGATCTTTTCAACGCCTTAGAGAATGCTGGGAGTGCTGCACCACAGCCACCACAGCCTGGACCTACTGCACAGTCCTTTCTTGCTTTATGCCTCATCAAAGCAAATAGCCTTTCACGTCACCTGGTGTATAGTCCAGTGTATCAGTCAGTTCTCACACTGCTAATAAAGACATACCCGAAACTGGTAATTTATAAAGAAAAGAGGTTTAATTGATTCACAGTTCCACATGGCTAGGGAGTCTTCAGAAAACTTACAATCATGGCAGAAGGCACCTCTTCACAGAGCGGCAGAAGAGAGAATGAATTCTGAGCAAAGGAGGAAATGCCCCCTATAAAACCATCAGAACTCATGAGAACTCACTATTGGGAGAACAGCATAGGGGTTGCTGCCCCCATGATTCAATTACCTCCCACCTCCCACCGGCTCCCTCCCACAACACGTGGGGTTTATGGAAACTACAATTCAAGATGAGATTTTGGTGGGGACAAAACCAAACCATATCATCCAGAGAAAACAGAATGAACAATGGATTAATGATAGTAAATGTACGTCATGTAGATCCATACTTGGGTGAAGGACCAAATCTAAAGCTACTGATAAATAAATAGATTGATTTCAATCTGGAAGAAGATGTTTAAACACATGCTAGAAGAGCCTGTCCACATTTATATCAGTTCCCAGAACAGAGATGGCAGGATGAATGGTTTCGAAAGTGCAACAAATTCAGAATGCATTAGTAAGTATATTAGGTTACAGAGTCAGAATGTGAAAGAGTATTGATGCATTAGATGGTCCAAAGCAAATTAAATAAAATGTAATAGAAATAAATGTAAAGTACTGTATCATGCTTAGTTCTAAAGATACAACTGCAGAAATGTGGAATGAAGAAAGTAAGTCTTTACACCAGCATATGTGAAAAAGATATATGACTTCTAGGTGACTGTAGCTTTTATATGATTCTGTTGCATGCAGTGAAAAATGCAAATTTGATCTTAGACCCTATTAACATAAGTGCAGAATACAGAGTGAGGAATCTGATGATCCCGTTGTAACTTCAGATTCAGAGTGCATTTAGGATAAAAAATCCAATTTGCATGCTAGGTTTTTTAAGAAATGTCATCTAAAGTAGAATACGTTTAGAAGTTTCAGAAAATGCTTTACTATAGTCAATAAAAAATATATATAAAGAAAAAAATTAAAAAGGGAGTTTTTACAAGTATTTAAAATGCTTTGCTTTAGAATGACATATATTGGATATATATCACACAATTCCAGAGGGAAACAATAGGTAGGTGCAAACAAAGAATACATGTGCAGAATTCTCATATAAATATAGAAAAATTTTAAATATTCAGTACAATAATGATGTGGGCCCTGTGTTAGTTGGGGTACCTTGGAAATCAGACATCAGGTGATAATTAGAATGTAAGAGGTTTAATGAGGGAAATGACTTTGAAAAATAATGAGAAGTGAAAACTAAGAGTAGGTTATGAGAGCTATTAACCCATGATGCAGGTCTGATAACCTGTGAAATGGGACCAGACAGGGAGGAAAACTGGGAAGGAAAAGACTTCTATCGCAGTGTAGGTCTTAGTAAACCTCAGTCAAACTGATGGGAATCCCCAGAGGAGTCTGTCAAAAGAGCCATTCGAAGAGTCACATTTTGTGCCGGCCGCGGTGGCTCACTCCTGTAATCCCAGCACTTTGGGAGGCCAAGGCAGGCTGATCACAACATCAGGAGTTCGAGACTAGCCTGGCCAATATGGTGAAACCCTGTCTCTACTAAAAATACAAAAATTAGCTGGGCATGGTGGCAGGAGCCTGTAGTCCCAGCTACTCTGGAGGCTGAGGCAGGAGAATCGTTCAAATCCGGTAGGCGGAGTTGCGGTGAGCCGAGATCACGCCACTGCACTCTAGCCTGGGTGACAAAATGTGACTCTTTTCCATCTCAAAAAAAAAGAAAAAAAGAAGAGTGGCATTTTGGAAGACAAGTTGGGGTTCTGGGATGTGTGCCTCACTCAGCCATTGGTGAGGTACAGTCCTGGGAGGTTTTACCTTCAAAATGAACATTGGAGTATTCCAGAGTGTGGTGGTTGAAGAATGATAGAGCTCTTATTACGGTTTGATAGTTTACTTTGTTTGAGAATTGGATTATTTTTTATTCTGTGAAAGAAATCCCTTCTCCTTCATGACATGCCCCATTTGAGATACTGTCATAGAAAACTTGCTAATCCATAAGCATCAATTAGAACTTCTAGAAAGCAGATGCTGAGATTAAGTGAACAGTAAAGGTTAATTGGGGAGTAGCATCTGTGAAAGAAAAAGAATGTGGCAGAAAAGTTCAGGGGGAGCCAAGAGACCATGATGCATATCTCACAAAGTCTCTGCCATCTAAATCAAGAGCTCTAGAGCAAAGATGGCTCACTAGAAGGGTCCTACGTCAAGTGTAAATGACAAGATTTTGTTAGTACAGTCTTGCTTAGTCATGGTCTGAAGCCATCTTGAGATGTATGACCTCATTTTCAATACAGAGGCAGAATTGAAGAAGTTAATAGCCACGGGCTGGCAGCTAACCACACTTGCCACCTGTCATTTCCTGAAGCTATCTGGAGGCTACAGTCCTCTATTTGTTCATGTAGTCCACTTTTCTACCCACGTTTAGGCAGCAGCTCCTCTAGAGTTCCAGTGATTATCCTTTCCTACATGTAAATTTGGAAGAGAGAGGTTAGTGGAAACAAACTACAGCTCTCATTCCTGTGACTGGTTCAGGGACTGCAACCCATTGTATTCTTTTTCCACTATCCATTCTAAATTCCACGTATTTTCAGCTGTCATCTCGGCTGGTCTTTTGGCTGCTGTGGGGCTGTGTAACCTAAATCTTCATTTTAAGCATTAGAACCCATGATAAACACCCTTCTACAGCAGGGGTTGCTGTACTTACCTATTGACAATCACAATGGGGATATAGATTGCTAATGGACAGCCAAGAGCATCACCTCGGTTTTCTATGTGTTTCCCCCTGCCCTCATAATATATCAGTAGTCCTATCTTTCCCTGTTAATCAAGGTAAGTTTTCCTGCAAATATCGTGACTTTCTTTCTGCCTACTGGTCTCCTATCAAAAGGGTATCTTCTTTGGAAACCAGGACTTGTATCCCAGCAGAGCCCAGAGTTCTGGAAATGCATAAATAAATTAAAATAAATTAACTGAATGGACCATTGAAGGTGATGGCTTTTCCATGGATCCTGGAACTGTAAAATCTTCTGAGTTGGGATGAAGGAACAGAGAGAAATCTCTGATTCAGTGAGGATGGAGCTCCATCCTCAGTGTATTACCTCCAAACTGGCATTTTAGATGCAACTTTATCAAGCCTTTCCAACTCTGTCAGTCCAGCTGTTTCTACATAGTGCAATTTAGCATCATTTCCACATTTCCTTCATTGTTAGTGAGTCCCCTGTTCTGGAGCTCAGTTGTGTGGGATTTCATGCCTATGGGCAGGTGTTCCATAAGCTCCTAGATAATGGTGTTGGCTGAGGCTCAGCAAGCAAGAAAAGCAAATCCATGGTTGAAATACATATCTATTCCTGTGAGAACAAATCAATAGCCATTCCAAGACATTAAGAGCCAGTTGATCTCCTTGAGGCATAGTGTCATGCCAGGGACTCTTTGTTGCTCTCCGTTGTACATTTAGAGAAGGCAATAGCTAGATAAGCCTTGATGAAAAAGATTACATGCACATCCTTCATCCCTGTGAATATGCACACATCACTTGTATGTTCATTTGTCTACCACTAAGTAGCTGCTGACAAACTCTGGTTAACATCCATTGGCTTAGCCATTTATATATATTTTATTAGATAATGTCTTTTCTACGGTGGATATTTCCTTTTGCACATTAATATCTTATACACAGATCTTCACTTTGTCCCAACTCCTATATGTCCATCTGATTGTCTCTACTCCAGGCCTTCTGTCACTAATCTTTCAATATCTTTCCTGTGGTCTCCTGAATAATTATCTATGTAGTTAACTACTACTCTTAGCCTCAGATATTCCTCAAATCGTATGAGTAAACAGGTTTACCACCCATAGCTTCACCCATTGGAGAGGTTTTTCTCTTTTGCCTGTTGTTCAAGCCTCCCTGCAATGAAGCTACTCTCCAGTTTATTATAGAACCAACATGTTTAGCTAACCCATGGCTAAACCATGCTTCCACTTCTTTATCCACATTCAATTGTTCTTAATGGCCCTTATGACCATTGGTGCAACCTGAGGGAGGGGTGATGGTGCAAATGTTCTTTGTGACATGGGAGTCCAGGAAACTTGCCCACATAGTTTTTCTTATGCTCTCTTGTTCTACTTGTGCTCAGTCCTAAATCTATTATTTCTGTTTTTCAATAAATTTGCCACTAGACCTGCCTGACTTGAAATCTCTGACAAGACTCAGCTCCTGTTGTGTAATTCCAAATACAAGTTCACCTGTGTCTCAATGTAAATCATTTTGATTCTATCCAGAGACAGATGCATGCCAACAGCTGTTTTTTAAATGATGTATCTTTGTGCTGCAAAGGGCATGGTCTTTCTAATGGGTTTATGTTAGGATCCTACCAATAGAGTTTGTCATTAACTCCAAAGTGCATTCTTTGCTACCCCTGGTATTTCCTACACTGTAGATACTGCCAAGAGCACTGTTTGCACCATAGCCTGGACCTACTGCAGAGTTCTTCCTTGCCCTAGGCCTCCTTAAAGCAAATAGCCTTCCATATCACCTGCTATATATCCAGGTAGTATTCTTTGGGGTGAACTGTATTGTCTCCAGAACCTTGAGATGTTTACTAGGTGGTATCCATGCTTCATCGTGGTAGGGAATGCAAGACGCTGCATTTTGCCTTTTGTTTGGGAGGGGATATTCCAGCATGCTCCTAACCATTCAGGCTCCTGAAGATTTTACTGAAATGGTAGTTTCTCGTTATCCATAAGGTTTATTTCTCATACTCCGGAATTCACATATTTTATTAAAGTCTCCATCCTGCTAGCCCTTGTTGATCACACTGCCAATTCTTCATGATGATATAGGGATGAAAGAACCTCGTCTGTCATCTCTTGAGGTTTGATATTTGAGTCTGAGAAATAAACTGACAATAGACCGATAAGCAAGAACAAGTGCATAGAAATTTACTTACGTGCTTAGGAGCATCACAGGAAGGTGAGTGTTCAATATCCCAATGAGGTCTAGAAGTTTAAATACTTTTCTTCATAGAATAATGGAAAATGGGGGGTGTAGGCCAATTTTTAGAGGGGTGGTAAATGATTTTTAGGAGAGATAAATGAGACAGCAGAACAGATAGCCTGGGACAAAGTTTGTCTGGGCTCTAAGTATGATGTTTGATTTTCAGTCTCTTCCTCTGTGATATGAGTTTCATCTTTGTTGGTTAATGAAATTTCAGTGGGAAGACCGAAGGCATTGTGCTCTTCTTTGGTGGATCCGGTCTTCAGGTAGATAAAGGAACTTCAGAGAAAACCCTCTCCCTTTGCTTCAGGAGAGGCAGAGAGATGAGAGACAGTGGGGCAGGAGAAAGCGAGAGAGAGATTTTGGTTTTGAGATTGCTTCTTTAGTTCAAAGTATTCAGCATGTCAAAGCACCATGCTTTGAGGTGTGTTTTCTGAACCCCATAACATCAGTGTAATGGAGCGACATGATGTTTCGCACAAGCATTATTCCATGTTCAACATATCAGATGCTATCGGAGCCACTACCTGTGCTCTTGTGTTAGTCCACAAAATTCACTTTCAGGGTTCAGACTGGTGAATCAAATGAAGTGGTGACAGGGACCCTCTGCTCTGCATTTCTTAGATCTTTACATGTTGCACTATTCGCCACCATCCTGCTGAATCACAAAATATTGTTTTGTATTTATAATCTTGGCTGGGGGAAGTTTTAAAAACTTCAATTTTTTAAAATTATCTACTATGATAGCTGTTATGCCACAAGCCAGGTTCACAATGTAGAGATTGCTCTAACCACAAAACATCCAATTATAATTACATATTTAGAGACTGGTGAAATGACTACCAGGTAATTTTTCTAATGCCGTAAACCCTCTCTTTACTGGACTTTGACAAGGATTCTACTTTTTAACCTGGTTAAAAAGATCAGAAGAACTCCAGTTTAATGGGGAGAAGAACATGCTAACACATCATGTATCAGATAATCTATCTCATCTCAGACCCTGTGTTCCATAGTTCTTGAAATGACATAGTTCCACAATTTTCGTTGGGCATTGTGCTGTCATCCAAGCAAATAGCCACAAGGCATCTGGAAAAGGACTGATAAAATTATAACAGCATTTTCTTTTTTTGCCACGTCTTTCTTCCTACAGACCTGGAAATCTCTTTAGTCAGTGTGTTTCAGGGAGAAAGCTATAGGAACTGGACAAAGTATTATGGTTTTTATTAAGATTACTGCTCTTAGCCTCCCGCTTACTCATTCTTGCTTTGTTTAATCATGTTTTACATTGTGATTACATTACACAGTACCCTAGTTGGCTGCCCATTTCTTTTGCTCCTGGAGTTGCTATGTCTATTACTGATTTCTGTAACACTCTTCAGGTTAAACCATTTCAGCTGCCACTTAGATTTTGCTGGTTGTTACAAAAATTGTATCCTCTCGAAGGTTCTGCTGGTTCTTAAATGACCTACATTCTCCACTGCTATTAATAAGTTAAACTCTATAACCTTTCCTACCCTCTATTTTAGCCTGCTGAGTTGCCACTGAACTTCTTAATGACGATGGCTCTCTTAACCATTGTATCCCTTATGACCTGGGTAAATGATGTGCGCTTCGGCCTTCTCATAAAACAAAATTATCTCACTCACATAATACATACACTCTAGCATGTCTATCTTCTTCATTTGTTCTACTCCTCCTCCACCATCTGCTATCGCAATTAAAGCTTTTCAGCTTCACTCTTCCTGGGTTTATTTTCTCCAGACTTCTAGGAGCCAACCTGGCATTGAGCCTGCACCACCACCCACGCCCCGGCCTCAGAGTCCTGGCTAAGGTATTAAGCTCCTTATGCTGAGGGTATCCCCTTGCAAATGAGTTGGGCAAACTGCACAGAATGAGAGAATAGTCCCTACGAGACTTACTCTCACTTCAGATACCAGTCATAATTTCAGGGGCCTCCTGGGCCACTCTCACTTTAGACTAGCTGACTTCAAATTTATAGATCCCTATGGATTCCAAGATCAGTAATTTACTAGGAAGACTCAGAACTCCTTGAGAGCAATTATACTCCCCATCATGTTTGTAACAGGCAGAGGATCCACATTAGAACCAGCTCAATGAAGAAATGGATATTGCAGAATCTGAGAGGGTTCTAAACTCAAAGCTTTCCTCATGCTCAGAGATATGTTGCCCTCTCAGCATTAATGTGCTACAATATTCAGAATACTGACAGGTAGACAATCTCACCCATACCTTTAGTGTCCAGAATTCTTTTTCTTTCTTTTTTTTTTTTTTTTTTTCCGAGACGGAGTCTCGCTCTGTCGCCCAGGCTGGAGTGCAGTGGCGCGATCTCGGCTCACTGCAAGCTCCGCCTCCCAGGTTCACGCCATTCTCCTGCCTCAGCCTTCCGAGTATCTGGGACCACAGGTGCCCGCCACCACGCCCGGCTAATTTTTTGTATTTTTAGTAGAGACGGGGTTTCACCGTGTTAGCCAGGATGGTCTCGATCTCCTGACCTCGTGATCCGCCCACCTCGGCCTCCCAAAGTGTTGGGATCACAGGCCACCGCGCTCAGCCCAGTGTTCAGAATTTTTATTGATCACATACTGTCTCTGTGGCTAAACTTTAGTCTCCAGTTCCCATCCTCAGCCAAGAGATAAGACTAATGCATTTTGTCTCTACTTCATCTGGAACTCTGAACTTATAGGGCATGGTTCAAAGCTTCCATTGCATGTCACATTGTTAGATTTCCTGTGGACAAATTCTAGAATAAAGATATTCCTCTCAGGCAGGACACTCAGAGCCTAGAGGTTACCCAACAGCAGCAAAGAACAAAGGCCAAACTTCCCTTTGGGTAAAGTTAATTATTCACTACACATCTCTAAATTCACCCTTCATCAGTCTTATGTTTTGGCCTCTTTAACCACACATTCTTATAATCCAGGTTTACTGGATTTCCATGCAGGGAAAAGAGGCTAGGTCCTATACTGCAGTCTTCATGATTGTGAAGGGCCATGCCAAGAACATGATCTTGCCTCAAAAGATGAGGAGAATTTAAAGGAGTTAACAGCTTGAAGTTGTCATAACCTTGCTTATCAAAGTACTTTCTTAAAAGTGATATCTGAGCCACTCATCTCAACGTTCATACCACATAACTTGCAGCACACGAATTTACACTAGGTTTACTTAGGACTCTTATTGTACATGTGCTTTTTTCTCCTACATATAAGCAGTAAAAGTAGATAGAATAACCTATACTATTTATGAGTTAAGAAATAATAAACATATGTTCTCACTCATAAGTGGGAGTTGAACAATGAGAACACATGGACACAATGAGGGGAACATCACAAACCAAGGCCTGTCAGGGGGTGGAGGGCTAGGGGTGGATAGCATTAGGAGAAATACCTAATGTAGATGACAGGTTGATGGGTGCAGCAAACCACCATGGCACGTGTATACTTATGTAACAAACCTGAACATTCTGCACATGTACCCCAGAACTTAAAGTATTAAAAAAAAGAAATAATAAACATAAAGGATATTGCAAAGTAACCTTTAGAGTATACTGTTAGTCATATAAAACACTATCGTGTGTGTGCACCAAGAAAAAAAAATACCATAAAATATGTTAATTATGTTTGTGTTTAAAAGGTAATATTTTGGAATATTGACATAATCTTTTTTTTTTTTTGAGACGGAGTCTCACTCTGTTGCCCAGGCTGCAGTGCAGCAGCACAACCAAGACTCACTTCAGCCTCGACTTCCAGTGTTCAGCCTTGACCTCCAGGGTTCAAGAGCACAATCAAAGCTCACTCCAGCCTTGACTTACAGGCACTTGCCACCATGCCTGCCTAAATTTTCTTTTTTTTTTTTTTTTTGTAGAAACAGGGTTTTGCCATGTTTCCCAGGCTAGTCTCAAACTCCTGGGTTCAAGCTATACTTTCTCCTCAGCCTCCCGAATTGCAGGGCTTACAGGCTTGAGCCACCGTGCCTGGCCTTGAAATAATTATTTTCATCTATCTCATTCCCCGCAAACATTTGAAGCTTTTGCAAATCTCTAAATATATCTTCTTTTCTCTATTTCGGTGTGTGTATAGTCCTATGTCCATGTGTCACTAACCATGGCTATACATTTTGAGAAACACCTTGTTAGGTGGTTTGTTATTATGTGAATTTTTATTATATAGAGTGAACTTTCACAAACCTTGATGGTATGGCCTACTACACATCTAAGCTATATGGTATAGTCTATTGCTTGTAAGCTACAAATTTGTACAGCATGTTACTATACTGAATACTGTAGGCATTTGCAACACAAAGGTAGCTATTTGTGTATCTAAACATAAAATGGGTGAAGTAAAATTATTTCAATAGTATAATCTTATGGTTCCATGGGGCCACAATTGTATGTGTGACTCGTCATTGACAAAAACATCATTATGCAGCGTGTGACTATATATATATTTATAACATAAACACTTCAATCTGATATTGCTTTCTAAGAAAGCACAGTCTCTGAAGCCAGACATACTAACTTCCAAATCTTCCCATACTAAAGGTACCATCTTTGATGAGCTACTTAACTACTTGGTGCTTTAGTCTTTTTATTTATAAAAAGGGTGTGATAATAATAACTAAGTCAAATTTATTTTGTGTAAATTAGATGTGATATGGGCTTAGAAACAGTGTCTGGTTCATATTGATCATAGAATATTAGTACCATTGTAGCTTTTTTGTGCAGAAGAAAACACAGGCAAATGATAGAATTTTGGAGTCTGAGGCTATAGTTTGACTTTTTTCTTAGATATATAACTTGTAGGAAATAAGCTTATACTTACGAACACTTCTTCTGTATCTCCAAATTGAGAATAATTATGGAGATGTTATAGGGTCATGAAGAATATTGAATAAATGATTACATGTACACTTTCTAATAAAAATGGTATAATAAGCCTCTACGATGATAGTGATATTTATTTGAGAAACTTATAACGTGAAATGATTCTTATATCAAGAAAAACTCATGGAAGCATTTATTCTCAGGGAACTGGAATTGAAATCATCACAATAATCACCATGATCGGTATTATTATTACTGTCATCTTTAATATTATTCACGTTGTCTTCATGTCCAATATCATACTTTTGGTCTGAGTTAATCAATAAACATAAGCAAAGTGTTTTCTGAATCCTGTTAATCAATCATTTGTACTAAGGGGGGAAAAAAGTCATTTCAGTTCCCAGTTGATCCTGTTACTAATCTTGCTTTTCCATCTCCTATTTTTATTTCATAAAGAACCCTCATATTTAGAATAATATATTCCAGCCTTAGATTATAGTTTCCTTTGCATGTGCTTAATTTTCTCATTTCAATTTTTCCATGGGGTCAAAGGGATACAAGAGATAAAGTATAGTCAATTAACAGAATCTGTGCATACATGTATTTAAATGATGTAAGTAATTATTATTATAGAATGGTTCATTATTATTTTTAGGTTTGAAAATTAGTACTTTCAATTTTCTCAAATTAAGTGCATTACATAAAATATCTCTTTCTGTGGAATTAGATCTAACAAGTGACTCTCGTGGTTTGTTTATTCCAGATTAACCGCTTTGGGATTTATCTTGGTTATCTCATGAGCTGAAAAAAAAGAAGTCCCTATTCTTACAACAAGAAAAGCCTTGTTCAGGCTGTAAAGTAATGGCTTTTCTAACCCAGATGAAAACAGGTCAAAGGATAAACGACCATCCAAAATTCTGAGGAGACATAGGCACATCCAGGGAGACAGAGGAGTCAAACAGTTGCTAACCTTGGACAGAGGCTGCTAGATACCAAGAAAGCCCGCCAGAATATCGAAGAAACACTGATAATTCCTTGGAAGTTGAACATTAGTATGGGGCTACGGTAATGGGCTTTCCACCCATTTGAATGCTTTTTTCTCTAGAAACACCATGAGGCTTTTACAGGGGGGATCTGAGAGAATCCAGAGAATGTTTCCCTTGTCTTACTAGTTGGGGAGGGAAAGACCAGACACCGTAAAGTCCATCCAGATCCCACTGCCATGTGAAACAAAGGCTTAATCAGCAGTGGGAAGGGCCAGAAGAATGCAGACTAACAGTACTAGAGGATATTTTTTGCAGCTAGTAAAAGGAAGATGGAGCAGGAGACACTGTGACAGGTAGCTTAATGTTACTCCATACATTTCATATAAACTCACTTTCACTTATTTATGTCACGAGTGCATTTACGTATTTATGTATAAACAAATGTACATTGAATAAAATTTTGGCTATATACAAATACGTGTGTGTGTATGTATGTGTGCATTGTAACTAATTTATTTTTATTTTCATTTAACTTAATGCTTTGTGAACACTCTTCCATAACACTAAAAATTAAAATACTTGGACTTTAGTGGATGCATGAATGTTGCTATAGCTTGTAGAATATTTAAGTTCTTTGCAATTTTAACTCTTATAAATGTTCATTGTGTTCAGTTTGGGCTCTCAGAAATATAACTTTACTAAAAATAGTAAGTTAAAGATAATGTATACTTACACAATTATATTTAATCATTCCTTATCATAAGAGTAATTGTTAGAATTAGTATCACCTAATTTAGACCTTTTTTCCAGACCTTTGCACCCTATTTCCTAAATTGTTTACAGAAAGTTTATATTAAATTACATTCACCTTAGGAGTGAATTAGAGTCCCCATTTCTCTATCTTCTTCTCCACCCAAGCATACCTTCTCTATATTTTAATCCTGAAAACATGTTCCTCCTGACACACAAAAGGTGATACTAGGTAAAATCAAATCAATAATCCTGAAGTTTTGTATTTGAGTTAATGGTCCTCAAAAAGCATGTGATATTACTACAAATATATTTACAAACCTGAAAATAGTATATTTTTGTATCTGTTGGGAAATGTTTAATTTTAGAAACATAGTTTCTTTTGAGACTTTTCTTATTAATACTAGCAGTATTTGAACAATGCCTTCTGTAGCTTCTGTCTCTTCCATCTCACTTTTTTTAAAGTGCCATACACTATTTCTAACAGCAAGATGTAGTTCCTAATGGGCTATAGAATGTGAATCATACATCGATAGTCATATTATATATTAAAATATTTATGCAACTTATTTTTTCAGCACTGATAGCTGTACACACTTTGGAAATGACTCCTGGACAGATCCACTGTGAAGAGTGTGTGTGTTTTGACAATCACTTTGCTACAGAGTGGAAAACAGGTCTGCCTATAAGGAGCTGCCTATCAGAGAATTTTAATTCTCTTAGGATAAAAGATACTAGTACACCTAGAGGAAAATTGCTACTATGGTTTTCAAGGCAGTTACAGTAGATAGCGTGTCCTAAACTGCTCCAGTATATTACTGCCTCTTGCTTTATTTCTTCTCAATGTATGCAAACCTCCTGTTTGAAAGAAGTATGTCATTTACAGCCACGGATATTTTTCATCTGACGTAAATTGCCACATTTTAAATTTTAAGACATCCGTTAGTTGCCAGTACTTCAAAAGGGTGCTCTGTTGTGATCACCACACACTGACCTCTCCTGGTCTTTATGGCACACAGAGAGATGGGCAATTATGGGAAATTAAATATGTAAAGTTTCTTCTGACTTAGTTAACCAGGGCAAGAAGACTCATGATTTTTATTCCACAGGTATCTTTTATCTAATGCAGAAAAGAATAATATCAGAAACATTGAAACATTAAACTGTTTTGAAGGGATGAAGGAACCAGACATTGGAAGGTCTTTAAAGATCATGTAATCTAACCCTTTTAGAATGAATGAGAAGATGAGGGCCTGTGAGGTTGCACGCATGCCTGCGGTGGAAGAAAAGAGCGAATGACCACCGGGTGCACTGGCTCACACCTGTAATCCCAACATTTTGGGAGGCCAAGGTGGGCGGATCACCTGAGGTCAGCAGTTTGGGACCAGCCTGGCCAACATGGTGAAACCTTGTCTCTACTAAAAATACAAAAATTAGCTGGGTGTGGTGGCGGGCACCTGTAATCCCAGTTACTCGGGAAGCTGAGGTAGAAGAATTGCTTGAATCCTGGAGGAGAGTTTGCAGTGAGCTGAGATCATGCCACCACACTCCAGCCTGGGCGACAGAGAGAGACTCCATCTCAACGACAACAAAAAATGTGTATGAACAATTGTTTCCTTCTTTAGAAAATCATCATTCCCGTTAGAAAGTTCTTTTGTAAGTATTTTAATTGTTTTTCCTTCCTTTTGTGATTTCTTCAGCTTCTTTTTAAATGTATTGATATGAAATCTTCCTTCAACTGATATGTCTGTTGCCTTATAAGTTTGGCGCCCTTTCTCTAAAACTGTGTGAGGTAATGTACAGGAATAAAAAAGGATTTTTCACAATTTCTGAACAACCAGATAAGAGGTTAATATTTTCTACTTCATTTGTTTTTACCATTTGCCTTTTGTATACAAAAGGATGAGAATCACATGGAAAATGGAACTTTAAAATAAATAAATAAATAAAGAAACAAAATGCTTCTATTACCCTACGGAAAAAATCTACGTAGGTAATTATACTCTAACACTCTTCATAGGAGAGTGAACTCACAATAAAACAATTTCTGTTAGCCCTAGGCTATAAAAAATAATTTCTAGGCATTCTGATTTTCATGAATAAGTAGCTGAATGCTCTGTCAGAGGAGCATACATATATTCGGTAAAAATGGTTGATTTATTTTTACTGATTGAATCATTGCCTGAATGAATCATTTTTACTGAATATTTGTATGCTCCTATGATAGAGTATTCAGCTACTTATTCATGAAAATCCAAACACCTAGAAATTATTCTTGATTGCCTAGGGATAAAGGTGATTGAAAATATGGTACCTATACACATCATGGAATACTATGCAACCATAAATGAGAACTAGATCATGTCCTTTGCAGGGATGTAGATGGAACTGGAGGCCATTATCCTTAGCAAACTAACCCAGGAACAGAAAACCAAACACTGCATGTTCTTACTTGCAAGTGGGAGCTAAGTGATGACAGCACATGGACACATAAAGGGGAACAAAACACACTGGGCCCCTTCAGAGGGTGGAGGGTGAGAAGAGGAAGAGGATCAAGAAAAGTAACTAATGGGTACTAGGCTTAATACCTGGGTGATTAAATAATCTGTACAACAAATCCCCATGACCCAAGTTTACCTGTGTAACAAACCTGCACTTGCACCCTTGCACTTAAAAAAAAATCTTTAAAAAAATGATTAATTCAAACTTGGACAAATTTGTTGAATAAACTTAACATTGTAATTATGTTTGTGTGCACATGTGTATATGTGAATAGAAGCATGCATATTCATTTGTAGTGCACATAAATAGATAAGGCTAATGCAGATGTGTGTTTTTAATTGACGTGGAGATAGAAAATAATGATTAGTTTTGCCTCTTCAGTAAAATGTATTGTGTATTCTTATTTGTTGTAATTTTATAATACCCTGAAGTTGCATATTTACATATGATTTTAAAGAATCATTAAAAAATAAAAATAGTTGATTTTTCTGTAATGAATCATTAAAAAACTAAACAATAGTTTATTTTTCTTTCAACTCTTTCCAATGTAACCAATTCTTCATAATAGTTAAAATACAATCTAATGTTCAAACAGTATTTTAGTATATTACAGATAAGAAATACTTGAGGATCATATACATTTTAGCAAGAGCACAATTTCTATAAACTAACGCATTCATGTAATAATCTTATCTCGATTTTATATGAGATAAAATATTTGTTTGAAACTATAAGGGAAACCATAACGACAAAATGCAAAAATCCCCAATATTTGGGACTTCATTCCAAGACACATGCTAAAAACTACCTGTATAGTTTTACAAATATTCCATCTGTGAAGGATAGTATATATGATCTATTCTCCAGATATTTGTTCAATCCATTTTCCTCACTGTAATTACAGAAAAATTTGTAATTTTTGCAAACATCATGGAATATTAAAATAGAGACAGTTTTACCTAATTTTCAGCTTAGGGTTTTCAGATTGCCTATTTCTTCTTCATTTCAAAGTATTCCAGTATTGAGAAACTAATTGAGTGGAGGTATTTTCATCAACCCAGTCAGTGTAAAATGATCCCATTGCTTAACATTGGTATAAAGCCTATTAAAGTTAATGGAAGAAAGAATTACACCACTGAACTAGAGGTGATGGCAATGACTCAAATAGAGAAAAATGGGAAGAATGGGCAAGAACTGTTGCCCTTACCTAGGATTTGTTTTTATATGACATTTTATTTGGGGAAGAAGGAAGAATGGAGGCACTATTATCTACCTAGAAGTGCATTTTGAATTGCTTGTGAGTATTTATAAACTATTTTAGTTTCTGAGTATTTTTTCCTTCGGCAATTGAATAACTGTTTGTGAACATTTTTTCTTCCTTTTATAATATAAGATCCATTTCACAGTTGTTTCTGACTTTCGCTCCTCCTATAAGATCTGTTCAGTTATTAACAATGATACAAAAATAGACGTCCTTGCCACGGTTTCAGACTAATGGTGACTAGATATAGACAATGCTGAAGCAGCTATTGTGTCTCTATCTCACCACTGCTGTTGAGTTATTTTCTTTATGTTCACTCAGGATAAAATACTCCAACTCTGTACACATCAGGATACTGTCTTACTCCAATTCTTTAGGTTCCCTTGATATTATGAGGGTTTATTATTGTTTGTCTTAAATAATTCTTAATGTCTAAATAATTCTTAAATTCTAACTGCTTCTATTTTTTGATATTTGGAAATTACTAACCTTGTATTTTCCATTTCTGAGCCTTCCTCACTTGAACAAGGCATGTAAGAAAATCAAACAGATGGGAATATAGGACTCAGGATTCTCCTGGTAAACAGAACCAATAGGAGATAGATAGATAGAGAGATTGATGGAGAAAGCTATCAATAGATAGATATTGTAAGAAATTGGGTCATGTGATTATGAAAAATGAGAAATCCCAAGGTCTGTATTTGGCAAGCAGGAAATCTAAACAAGCAATTAGATACAGTACGAGTCTGAATCTGAAGGCCCAAAAACCAAGACAGCTGATGGTGTAAGTTTCAGTCTGAGTCCTAGTGCAAAGGCAGGAAAAGGGGGCTGTTCCACTTTGAAGACAGTGAGAGACTCCAAATTCTTCTTTACTCAGTATTTTTGTTCTTTTCAGGCTTTCAATGGATTGGATGAGGTGTGCCTACAAGCTGCTTTGCTCAGTCTATCAACTCAAATGATAAACTCATCCAGAAACACCGTCACACACAAAACCAGAATAATGTATAGCCAGTTATCTGGGCTGTCCAAGGCTCAGTCAAGTTGACACAGAAAAGTAACCATAAAAATTGGGAACAAGCCAATGATATCCATAATGCTGATGTAAAGTTAATACATCATATGTTACATGTAGGGGAATAAGAGAGTGAAGACAGCAAAACTATCTTGTATATATTTTCATACACAAATATACTTATAACAAAAGAAAGATGAAATATTCATGACAATTACAGTCTTCATTTCTGTAACAGGTCATGTGGTCATAACTGATATTTAGACCTCTCTTCCACTATCCACTCTATATTTTCTTTACCTCAGCTGGTTATGTTTCTTTACCTGGTGGTAAACTACCGCCAAACTACCATTCTTGAAGAGTCTGGGCTATTAGTAGTCCTTCTTCCTGGAATAGGTTCTTGGAATTTTTCTGACTTAATCACAAGACATGAGCAGGACATTAAGAGCCATCCTCAAAGATTTCCTATGTTTCAGAATACTCTTCCTTGCTTCCCTTGTGGAGTAGTAGTCTAATTTCCCCACGGTGGTCAGGATCAATAACTCCAGCCAGCACTGTGACTCCCTTATATGCCTGTTGACTCAGATGCATGAGGAACCAAAGTGGCCGGGTGATGGTCATAACTTTCAGTTTAATGGAACCATTGTTGTGTGTTTTGATGGAAACATTCCTCCCTCTAGAACTAAGACACCTAGGACTGAAGAACTTAAAGTTGTAGAAACAGGAAATAAAATTTTGCTAGTGGATTGCTATAGGTAATAATGAGTGATGCCATTCCCATTTTTACCTTTTGATTTCTTGACTCAAGAATCCTGGTTATGAGAGAAATAGTACCACATTTCAGATGATGATTTAGAGCAATTACAGTTTGCCCTCCATATCTGCAAGTTCTGCATCATCAGATTTCAACCAGCTGCCAATCAAAATTATTTTTTAAGTAAAAATACAATAACAAATAATATTAAGTAAAAATGATACAGTATGACAACTACTTATATAACATTGACATTGTATTAGATTTTATAAGGAACCTGCAGATGATTCAGAATATCTGAGAGGATGTTCTAGGTTATATGCAATTACTACACCATTTTACGTAAGAGACTTGAACATCCTCTGATTCTGATATCCATAGGGAATCCTGGAAGTAATTCCCTGTGGATACAGAGCAATGACTGTCCAGCCTTCAGGAGAACCTAGTTTCCTAGGTAATAATAATTCTAGTAGTTTTCACCTGGCTTTTCTCACCATAAGAGCCCTCATCCAATAGGTCAAGGAACCAATGTGGTGACTGCCAGCTGCTGAATCTGTGTATTCCAACTCCGCATTTCCCACCTGGGGAAATAACCAAAGTTATTGAGCCCACTCTGAGATGGACCTAAGCTCAAATTCTATTAGTCGTCTAGCAGCCAGAAAGTCCTACTCTGACTGGTGGAACACAATGGTGTTTTGGTTCTCCTGGAATTAGTGTCAGTTCAGAGACAGTGTCAGTAGTTCCCAAAAGTTCTGATTATTGCCTTTTTCCAAATTTATGGTTATCCTCGTAAAGGGTTTTAGGTCTCTTTGAGAAAGGCTGAAAGAGTGAGTAACAATATGCATTTTCAGTAGTGTATCAGGTCCTTCTTCGAGAAAACCTGACTTCTTCATTCAAGGGGTTCAGGGTGTGTAAACTGACTCAAGTCTAGGATTTAATTTGGAGTCCATGATTCTCTCTCTCTCTCTCTCTCTAGTTTCTTTTCTTTAGTCTTTTGTGGGTGCAAATATAGGCTAAGCTTTTGTTCACTTGACCTAAAACTTTTCTGCTTACAAAGATTAAGTAAGATTTAGTAAGATTTCTGTCTATTTCACTTCTAGAAACACCACCATCAAGTAGCCAATGTCACAAGTCTGCGTAAATCAGACTATTCTGATTGCTACTTTGATCTCCTATTCAGTGTAGTCACCATGTACACATTGCCCTACGTGGCCCCTGCCCCCCAAGGATCCAATTACTACCACTGTATTTAGGTTTCCCAATTCAGTAACCAAATTTTTCACTGTAAGTTCTGCTCTACAGAGAAGAGCTATCACAGAGCTTTCAAGGATACTTTCAGCCTCACCTCACAAATATATTCCTCACAGTTGTGGTGAAAGGTCTTTTGGCCCTTCCCAGTGTAGATAAATATCTCTAACTTTCAAATTCATTCCTGTACATCAAACCAAGGCAGATCCAGCATTTCTGATTTACTCACTGTGGGCCATATATGGTTTATATTTCAAGTAACCAAATAAATTGTCAGAGCTTTCCTGAAGCTCAAAATTGCAACATTAAATGCAGAGTCTCTGCTATTGTGAATAGTGCTGTGATGATCATACTAGTGCATGTATCCTTTTAGTAGAATGATTGCTGAGTAAAATGGTAGTTCTGTTTTAAGTTATTTGAGAAATCTCCAAACTTCTTTCCACTGTGGCTGAATTAATTTAAAATTCCACCAAGAGTGTATAACCATTCTCTTTTCTCCACAATATCTCAAACATCTGTTTTTTTTTCTTTTTGACTTTTTGATAATAGTCATTCCGACTGGTGTGAGATAGTATCTCACTGTGGTTTTGATACACCATGGAATACTATACAACCATAAAAAAGAATGAAATCATGTTCTTTGAAGCAACATGGATGCATCTGGAGGTCAATATCCTACGCAAACTAATGTAAGAACAGAAAACCAAATACTCATGTTCTCACTTATGAGTGAGAACTAACCACTGAGTACACATGGAAATAAAAATGGGAAAAATAGACGCTGGGGACTTCTAGAGAGGGGACGTTGGGAAGGGGCAAAGGCTGAAAATCTACCTATTGGGTACTATGTTCACTATCTGGGTGATGGTATCATTTGTACCCCAAACCTCAGAGTCACACAATTTAGCCACATAGCAAATCTGTACATGTACCCTCTGAAACAAAATTTTTAAAAAATTAATAAAATAAATATAAATAAATAAACGCAGAATCTTTGCTTTGTGAGCACATATCAATAATTCAGCCTGATTCAACTTTATTTTCCTTCCACCATTTTCTCACACCCTCAATGTCTATTTCCAGACATTTTGCTTAGATTTCCGAGGAGGATGGGGTGGGTCCTGAGGAGAACTAACATTTACTTACATGGCAACTGCCTCAGGAAACATCATTATAGTTTCCTCAGGCAATGCGAGCTAATTCTTTCAGACACTGGTGAAGACGCTGTTGCCACAGGCCAGAAAGTTGTTTGCACTGGGGGTGAGGAGGCAACTTTGGTGGAGAGGCTTCTTCCACTGTCAAAGAAGTCATCAGAATTTAAGGGTTCTATATGCCAAAGTTCAGGGTCTTTCCACATATCCACATTCCAAATTTTAAAATCTCATACCTTCCCTATTAATGCCCTAACTTTAACAGCAGTTGTTGTGTAAGATGTCTACTCTAAAGGTAGGAGTTCAACTTGTTAATTCAGCCAGTCATAAGATGAGATTAAGTGTTTGATTTTCAACAATCTCAGCCCCTTTGCTACAGGATATTGGAATGTCTTTCAGGGCACACAAAGATGCCTTCAGGTCATTAATATGGCACTTAAGCAGGAAATTTAATTCCCCAAGGTCCTCCCTTTTTTTTTTAACCACTTATTCAGGCAACATTAGGAGCAACCAACGAATCTTGTTAGATTTATTAGTTTTCCAAAAATATTCAACAATGTCATAAACACGGTCATTTGGTTCCTTGTATCTTATTAGCGCTGGTTAAGAATATCCAATGTACCAGTCCAGGCAACATGACAAAACCCCATCTCTCCTGAAAACAAACAAACAAACAAACAAACAAAAATAGCCGAGTATGGTGATGTGTGCCTGTAGTCCCAGCTATTCAGGAAGCTGAGGAAGGAGGGTCTCTTGAACCCAGGAGATGGAGCTTGCAGTGAACTGAGATCACACCACTGTACTCTAGCCTGGGCAATAAAGTGAGATCCAGTAAAAAAAAAAAAAAGAGTATTCAATGTAGATATTTTGTGTATCTCTAGTATCTCTATTGCCAGAATGCTTCCTTCACTACTACAAATAGTTATTGGCATCTTAAAAGCCAATTATATTAGACAGCCAAATCCAGAAACCACAGAGACAATTTAAAAATCTGTACAACCACTCTCAGCACCAAAATCTGTTTTAGTCAGGTTTCTGTAGAAAAACAAGGCCAATATATAATTAACCATATGTGAAGTTTTAATGTATAATCTACCCATTTAGATAAACTTTTCTTAGCCCCTGAAGCTGAATTCAGTTTTTCTCAGTTCCACAGAATGCATTTAGCTTTACTGGACAGATGTAGTGACAAGTCTAAATTCTTCACTTCTGCCTTAAAATTGTTAATAAATAGACATATCTCATTGACCCCTAAGATAAGAAATGCTTTTGTGTTTTTTCTCTACTATTATTTTCTCAATGAAGTGTATATTCTATATTATGAATAAAATGCAAAGCTTTAGGCTTATTTCATAAGAATGTGCTTTAACCTGGTTTTTGGTGCATCTACCCCTAAAATATATGTTGTGTGTTATATGTGCGTAATTCTATAAAGTGTAATTGTATAGAGTTACCTTTATGTATGTGAGTATGGTGGATGTTATGATTCACAGCTCAGTTCCTCCTTCAGGCTGAGGGTCTATTTCCAATGGCTGATAGGAGTATTGTTGGCAGAGAGCCCTCAGCTGTCAGCACTCTTCCAAATTAACTTGGTTAAAAAAAAGGTCACATATGCTCCCCTGGAAGCCTCCACCCTGGGACTGGCTATGAAGGACAATAAAAATATAATTTTTTGACCATACTTGGACACTTAGGAAGATCCACTGAAACTTGAGAGCTCCCCATGTACAGCTAGTTTTTCATTGAACCTTCTTTTCACCCAAACGTCTTTCTCTAATCAGCCCTGCTTCTTTCCTTTTTCTTCCAGGGATTTGATCCTAAAAGTGTACAGTAATAAATACTCTGCCTGCTAATCTAAGTCTCAGAATCAGCTTGCAGGGAACCTAACCTCCAGTAATGATAGATTTATAGATGATAGGTAGCTAGACAGATTAATAGATTTACAGATAGACAACTGGATCCTTAGGTAGCAAACACAAAGTAACCGGGTTCAGTTAATTCAGGATTCTATAAATAATAAAAATTTTCTCTCGAATTAAAATATGTACGCAATCATCTTATATTATGTAGATATCAATTTGCATCCTGATTCTACCACTTACTAATTGTGCCAACTGGGAAAGTTATCCTCTGTAAATTTCAAAATTTTTATTTTACAATGGTAGTAATAATAAATCCTAATATTGTTGCTGTTAAAAAGTCAGTGAGAGAGGGGGCTTCAGGATGATGACTGACTAGAGTCATCTGACATTAGCCTCCTCCACAGAGAAGAACAAAAATAGCAAATAGATAATCACACTTTGAAAACAGCAGCTACAAGATATAATGATATTCTATAATGATATCAATAATATAATGATATTCCCAGGAAAAACCTGAGGAATAGAAGGAGAGGGAAGTGAGGCACCCTGCCTACCTGGGATCACCTGGGACCCTGAAGAGGCTTGCCATGTGGAGAAAAGGTAAGTGAGAGATCCCCAGCCGTCCATATTCCCACAATCCTAGCCACAGGAGAAGCTTTTGATTCCTGTGAGCCCTGAGACCAGTCTGGGAGCTACCTGGAGTCCGTAAAACATCATTGCTTTGGAGGGAGATCATGATGGGTCCCGCGCATCTTCTGAGACCCAAGCAGTTGGAACATGGTACCATTTTGAGAACGAAGCCCTGACAAGACAGCATCCTGCCCTGGGGCTCAACAGTTCCTGAAACTCCATATCCCTGGAGCCCCATAGGATATCCCTCCACATCCACCCAAAGGGCTTCAGTGGTGGGATGTCAATTGAACCCAGAAGTCTTGCAGGGTTCCCAGTGCTCTAAGCTGCACAGTGTCCTATGCCTTGGAAAATGGCAGTGTAGTACAGGTAGTAGGCTGGTCTTGGGACAACAGGAGCAAAAATGTGTACTGTTCAGAGCCTGAAAGCCACCTGGCCATTGCCACTGAGAGTAATGCCACCCACACCAGAAACAGAACTGCTGTGCAATTGCATGTACCCTGAGGACAAGCTCTCTTGGCCTGCCACCACCACTGCCGCTGCTGACTCCACACTGGGGGCCAAAACATGCACAAAGCCTGAGAGCCCCTTGCCTGGGGCTACTGCCACTAACAGCAACGCCATCCTTGCAGGCAGCAGGGCAGCAGTATACTTTCACATTCCCTGAGGACAGGCTCTTCCCACCCACTGCTACCACTGCTACCTCCACCCAATCATGCTACCCAGGGGCCTTCAGATAAGTTACACCTTTTCCACTAAATCCTTGCCCACGTGCACCATTAGAATACTGAAAATTGGCTTGCCCAGGCTGGTATCACCATCCCAGTGCACAAGCATGCTGCGTGGAGGCCTGAAACCTCCCTTCCCTATCCTCTACTGCTAGCGTCTATGGACTCCTCCCAAGGTTCTGAGGATGGGCCCACTCAACCTGCCACTACCACCAACACTAGCACCCACCTGCACATGCCACCTGGTCCACCCAGCCTATCACAGCCACTACTAACACCAGCACATGCTGCCTTGGAGACTGAATATTGTCCTGCTACTGCTATGATCATTCCCCATGTCATGCAGGCTGCCCAAGGACCCGATGACCCACTCACATACCCAACTCACCGTTAATGCTACTGGCACCTGAGCAAGCTGCTCTGAGACCCAAGCATCAGACTACTTAATCCCGCTAACATCAGTGCCAACATATGTACCCAGGGCCCAAGGGGAGATAAACTTGGCCCACTGTTGTCACCACTAAAGCCTGAAGACTGGCCCAACTGACCTCCCCATTTCCAGCAAAGCCTAACTACAGCATCCAGTAACAACCACAGCATCCAGTAACAACCAGTAAGCCACTGTGGAATCACAGACAACACTGACATTATTTATAGCTGAAGAAGTCATACAAAAACTACACTACTTCAGGCATCCAGGATCAAAGCCAACACGTGCTACCCAACCAACACCATAGTTATAACTTCAGGAAAAAGACTTTCTCTATGAAAGCCATTCCAAAAAAATTGGAAGAAGTGATAATTACATCAAATGCACAGCTATCAATGTAAGGACACAAGAAACATGACAAAGTAAGGAAATATAACACCTTTAAAGAAATAGAATAATTCTCCAGCAATAGATGCCAATGAAAAATAAATTTATAAAATGTGTGAAAAATTCAATATAATGATACTAGAGAAGCTTGGTGACATACAAGAGAACACAAATAAACAATACAAAGAAACCAGCAAACAATTTAGGATATGAATGAGAAATTTACAAAAAAGCTAGATATTATAAAAAACCAAACAAAAGTCCTGGAACCGAAGAATTCAACAAATGAAATTAAGAGCTTCAACAATGAACTAAATCAATCAGATAAAATAATTTCAAAATTTGAAGACAAGTTTTTCAAAATAATTAGTCAAACCAAAAAAAAAAGAAGAAAGAATAAAAAAGAATAAGCAAAACATATATGATATATGTGATATCCTGTTGCAAATTCCAGAAGGTGAAGAGAAAGCCAAAGACATTTTAAAAAAATTAACAACTGAAAACTCTCCAAGTCTGACAAGAGATTTAGGAATCCAGAAAGCTTAGAAATTTCCAAATGGAAATAAGCCAGAAAAGTCTTCTCCAGGGTACAGTATATTTAAAACATCAAATATCAAAGATAAAGAGAGAATTTTGTAACCAGCAAGAGAAAAGTGTCTAGTTACATATAAGGGAATCCCCATCAGAATAACAGTGAATTTCTCGGCGGAAACCTTTGCAGGTCAGGAGAGAATGGGATGATATATTCAAAGTGTTAAAAAAAAAAAAAGGAACAAAAATACCTTTCAGCCAAGAATACTACACTCAGCAATCTGTCCTTCATAAATGAAAGAGAAATACAGTTTTTCCAGAGAAGAAAAAATCTAAAAAAAATCCATCGCCACTAAACCAGCCATACAAGAAATACTTAAGGGAGTCCTATATCTGGAAGCAAAAGAATAATATCTACCATCGTGAAAACATATAAAAATATGAATGTTACTGATAGAACAAACACACAAATGAGGAAGAAAAATGACAATGTTACTACTGCAGACAACTAACAAACCACAATAATAAAAGATCAGAGAGAAAGAAAGAAACAAAGGATATATTAAACAGCCAGAGAACACCAAAAAAATGGCAGAAATAAGTCCTCACATATCAATAGTGACCTTTAATGTAAATAAATTACATTTTCCACTTAAAAGTTATACACTGGAAGAATGGATAAAAAAGCATTATGCAACTGTATGTTGTTTACAAGAAACCAATTTCACCTGTAAATACACATATAGACTGAAAGTAAAGGAATGGACAAAGATGTTCCATAAAAATGGAACCCATGTGCAAGCAAGAGTAGCCATACTTACATCAGATAAACAGATTTTAAGTCAAAAGCAGAAAAAAAGGAACAAAGAAAGTCATTATATAATGATCAATAAATTAATTCAGCATGAGGATATAGCAATTCTAAATATATATGCAACCAATACCAGAGCACCCATATATATAAAGCAAATATTGCCAGATCTACAGAGAGAGATAGATTCCATTATAATAATAGTTGAGTACTTCAACACCCCGCTTTCAGGATGACACAAATTTTATCCAAGAGCTACAGAATACACATTCTTCTCATCAGGATATGCAGTATTATCCAGTATAAATCATATGTTGGGCCACAAAATAGGTCTTAAAAATTTTTTCAAAGTAAAAATCACATCAAGTATCTTCTCAGACAACAATAAAATAACACTAGAAATCAATAACAAGAGAAACTTTGGAAACTGTAAAAATACATGGTAATTAAACAACATGCTCCTGAGCAACCATTAAGTCAACAAAGAAATTGAGAAGAATTTTTTTTTTTTGTCTTAAAACAGGAGAAGTGCAGTGGCTCATGCCTATAATCTTAGCATTTTGGGAACCTGAGGTGGGCAGATTGCTTGAGCTTAGGAATTTGAGACCAGCCTGGGCAACACAGTGAAACCTCAGCTCTACAAAAAATACAAAAATTTAGCCAGGTGTAGTGGTGCAATCCTGTAGTCCCAGCTACTACAGGGGCTGAGGTGGGAGGATTGCTTGAGCCTAGGAGGTCGAGGCTACAGTGAGCAAAGATCACGCCACTGAAATCCAGCCTGGGAGACAAAGTGAGACCCAGTCTCAAAAACAAAAAACAAAACAAAACAAAAAAAAACTAAAACAAATGAAAATTGAAACACAACATACCAAAACCTATGAAATACAGCAAAAGCAGTGCTAAGGAGAAAGTTTATAGCAATAAATGTCTACATCATAAAAAAGAGAAAAAAATAAGTAAGAATCTAGCAGTGTATCTTGAAAATCTAGAAAAGTAAGAACAAACCCAACTCCAAATTAGTAAAAAGAAATAAAAGTCAGAAATAAATAAAACAAAAAGGAGTCTAAATAAACAATACAAAGGATCCACACAATGAAAAGTTGGCTTTTTGAAAAGATAAATAAATTTGTAGACCTCTAGCTATACTAACCAAGGAAAAAAAGAAAAATGATCCTAATAAAATCAGAAATGAAAAAGGATAAATTACAACTGATACCACAGAAATTCAGAAGATTATCAAAGACTATTATGAATAACTATACACAAATAAACTGGAAAACATAGAGAACATGGATGCATTTCTGGAACATAAAACTGACCAAGACTGTATCAGGAAGAAATAGAAAACATGAACAGGCCAAAAATCATAATGAGATTGAATCAGTAATAAAAATTAAAAAGTTGCCAAAAAAAGTATAGCTCAATACTGGATGGCTTCACTGCTAACTGAACTAACCTGTAAAGAACTAACACCAATTCTCCTAAACTGTTCCAAAATATTAAAGAATAGAGAATTCTCCCTAAGTCATTCTAGGAAGCCAGCATTAACCTGAAGCCTAAACCAGACAAGGAGACAACAACAACAAGAACTGCTGGCCAATATCTCTGATGAACGTAGAAGCTAAAATTCCGAAACTATATTAGCAAGCTGAATCCAACAGCACATCAAAAAGATAATACGCCATAATCAAGTGTGATTCATCCCAGTTACACAAAACTGGTTCAACATATGCAAATCAAATGTGATACATCACATCAGTAGAATGAAGGGCAAAATCCATATGATCATCTCAATAGTCGCAAAAAAGCACATGATAAAATTCAACATCCCTTTATAGTAAAACTTCTTAACAAATTAGACATAGAAGAAACATACTTCAACATAATAAAGGCTATGTATAAAAACCCACAGCTAATATACTGAATGGGGTAAAGCTGAAAGCCTTTTCTCTAGGAATTGGAACAGGGCAAGAATGACCACTTTCATCACTCTTATTCTACGTAGTACAGGAAGTCTTAGCCAGAGCAGTCAGGCAAGAGAAAGAAAGAAAAGGCATGCAAACAGGAAAAGAGAAAGTCAAATTACTCCTCTATGGAGATGATATGATCTTACATTTAGAAAAACCTAAAGACTACCAAAAAAACCCTCTTAAATCAAATAAACAAATTCAGTAAAGTTTCAGGATATAAAAATCACTAGCATATCTAATAATGAACTAGCTGAAAAATAACTCAATAAGGCAATTTCATTTACTATAGCTACAAAAAAAAAAACAAAAAAAAAAAAACCCTAGGAATAGATTTAACCAAGAAAGTGAAAAAGCTCTCCAAGAAAAACTACAAAACATTGATGAAAAAAATTGAAGATGACAGCAACTAAAAAGACAACTCATGCTTATGAATTAGAAGACCATATTACCCAAAGCAATATACAGATTCAATACAATCTCTGTCAATATACCCATGAGGTTTTTACAGAAATAGGAAAAACAACCCTACAATTTGTATGGAATCAAAAAGCAGCCTGAACAACCAAGGAAATCCTGAGCAAAAGTAACAAAATTGGAGTTATCACACTACTTGACTTTAAAATATGTTACAAATCTATAGTAACAAAAACAACATGGTATTGACATAAAAACAGACACATAGACAAAGGAAAAGAATAGTGAACCCAGAAATAAATCCATGTATTTACAGATAACTGATCTTTGATAAAGGTACCAAGACCATACATTGATAAAAGGGAACCCTCTTCAATAAATGGTGCTGAGAAAAGTGGATATCCCTATGCAGAAGAATGAAACTAAAATCCCACCTCTCACTCTATATAATATCAACTCAAAATGGTTCAAAAACTTAAATATAAAACCCCAAATTATAAAACTACCAGAGGAAAACATAGGGGAAACACTCTAGAACATTGGTTTAGGCTAAGATTTTATGGCTAAAACCCCAAAGGCACAGGCAATTAAAGCAAAAATAGACAAATGAAACTATATTAAAGTAAAAGTCTTCTGCACAGCAATGGAAACAATTAACAAAGTGAAGAAACAACTTGTCACTGGGAGAAAATATTTGCAAACTATCTGGCAAGGGACTAATATACAGAATATACAAGGAAATCAAACAACTCAACAGGAAAATAGATAAATAATCCCATTAAAAAGTGGGCAAAGGATCTGAATAGGAATTTCTCCAAAGAAGACACACCAATGGTCAAAAGGGATAGGAAAAAAAAAATATTTAACTACATTAATTATCAGGGAAATGAGAATCCAAACCACAATTAGATATTATCTTACACCCGTTAGAATGGCTAAAAGACAATAAATAACATATGCTAGCAAGAATGCAGAAAAAAAGGGAACTCATGCATTGTCGGTGGGAATGTAAGTATAGCCATTATGGAAAATGTATGAGGACTGCTCAAAAAACTAAAAATAGAACTACAGTATGACCCAGCAATTCCAATACCAGGTATTTATCCAAAGGAAAGGGGAAATCAGTATGTCAGAAGGATACTTGCACCCCTGTGTTTATCACAGCACTTTTCACAATAGCAAAGATATAGAATCAACCTAAGTGTTCATCAGTGAATGAATGGATAAAGAAAATATGCTACATGTAAATATTTATATATACACAAATAATGGAATATTCTCCAACTATACAAAAGAATGAAATCCTGTCATTTGCAGCAACATGGATGAAAGTGGAGGTCATTATGTTAAGTGAAATAGCATAGAAATAACACAGAAAGACAAATATAGCATGTTCTCACTCCTATGTGGGAGCTAAAAAGGTTGAGATCATGGAGGTAGAGACTAGAATGTTAGTTACCAGAGGTTGGGAACAGTGTGTGTGTGGGGTGAGATGAAGAAAGGTTTGCTAATGGGCACACACATATAGGGAGATATAAAGAATAAGTTCTAATGTTCAATAGCAGAGTAGAGTGACTGTGGTTAACAATAACGTGTTTTGTATTTCAAAATAGCCAGAAGAGAGAATTTTAAATATTCCCAATACCTAGAAAGGAATGAAAAATTCTTAAATACCCTGACTTGATCATTGGACTTTCTCTGCATGTTACAAAACATCACATGTACCCCATAAATATGTACGAATATTATGTATCAATTAAAAAATTTTAAGGTCAACGAGGTAAGCCATGGTAAGCACTAAATATGCTTCCTGGAACACTTATCATTTATCTGCAATCACATTTTCTAAAATTACGTGAGTATGCATTTTTACATAGAATTAGAATATGATGGTTATTACAGAACTAGGTAAAGTCATAATATGTGACATTTTCCAGTAGGTTTTTTCAGAGAAATATATGAATAAGAATACATTTATTAGGTTGGTGCAAAGTACTTATAAACGTATTCCTGTTTATATTTCTCTCTGTATAGCATACTAAATTGGGATGAAAAGATACTTATGACTTCAGGTTGGGTCATGTGTATAGATATCAGGCTTCTCGAAAATATATCCTGGGAGAACTTTATTTTTACTATACCTTAAACACATGTGAGTTTGAATAAATTAAATGAAATATAGAAAAATTATTAAACATAATGCGAGTTGCTTCAAGAAAAATAAAAGAGGGTTTGGGCAGGACTCAGAGTGTGCAGTAAAATATTAGTTCAGTAAGGTCATACATGTTTCTTTTTGATCAGAAAGAAAAGATGCTTGGATTCTTTGTTGACTGAGAATTTTGCATATCATTAGAAGAGGGCATCTTGTCATTTTATGCTATAAAATGCATTGGGTAACCTAAGGCTAGCTAATATAAATCATAAAGAAAGCCAGGTTTATTGAATATCAGATTTCCATTAAATCACATTTATATACAAAGAGACAGTTCAAATTGTAATTGAAGTTGTCAGCTTTCATTCATCTTATAGGGGATTATTCAAGCTGCACATTACTCATTGTTTTGTACTTTGAGTCAATTTATCTAAGTACTCTTGCTGTAAAAAAATGAAAAGGGACAAGCTGAGTTTTTCCTGTTAAATGTAACAAAATAGTACTGATTTTTAATCACAAGCAATATTTTTCTCATTCAAAAATAAGTAATACATCATCTCAATTTATGTTTCATTTGTAAAGCATATAAAAAGACAATCAGTAAGTGATATAAAATAATTAATTTAAATGTAGAAAATGTCAACTCTTCAGGAATAACCTGAAAATAAAATATATTTTAGCTGAAAAATTTCTAGTAAGGGACAATGAGAATTATTCAATTGATTGAAAGATTACTATTTATTAATACCAGTCAACTTTTATCCTGATAAAATGCTAGCTTCTTGTGAAGTAAATATAAAAACTTTGAAATTGCTTAGATAAAAAATCATGAAAATTTTAAAAAAAATAAATCTTGAAAAAAATCAGGTGAAGAAATCTTAGTTCTTAATTTTAGTAATTTCCAAATTATACCTTTATTATAAACCTCATAGAAGTTACATTTACATTTGTCACCAAAATAAATGTTGTTGTGTGCCATTCAAAACTATATGTCTTTTGGGAACATAGCCTGAGCTATTTTATTTTATCTCCATTGATCCAACCACAAAATAATATGCAGCGGAATGTTGATTTATAAACTTACCATGGAAGTTAAAAATACTGAGTATTTGTGCAGTTCATAAATAAATATATTCAAGTACTACGCTTGTTTTCTTTTTGTCTTGCTTTTCACTGTAAGTCTTTTATTATAATTGTCATTTGGTATTAATACACATATTTCTCGTGAAAACAGACTTACGTTTTTAACATTTTAGAGGTTGTGGACACTCAGAGGCTATTCAAGTCATGTTTCTGACCAATTTATGGAAATTGTCATCCCATAATGTGAAGATGAATATATACTGTCTGAAATAGTCAGCACTCGTGATGCTAGGGACTGCAGTCTTGATCTTATGTCTACTATGGATTGTCAGTAATTCATTGTTTTATTCATTTGTGTTGATTCTATTCATTGTTCATTCATTCTCCAAAATATATTGAATGTTCACTGTGCAGCAGGCACTCTGCTAAGCCCTGGGATTTCTTTATATACTTGTAGATAGTCCCTGTCCTTGTGGTTTACCACCAGCTGTGGAGAAAAACAGCAGTCAAATAATCACACAAATGCAAATTTATACATCATATTGAATATAAAGAAGCACCTATTATGAAAGAAACTTCTATGTTGGGAAAGAATCATCCGGCAGTTTGACTTAGTCTGTCAATATTGTTTCCAACATGATTTTTTAAATGAATTATTTATGATACTTTTATTTATTGCCTTGTTACATTTTCTTATCAATTCTCATGCTACTTTAGTTGATTCCCTTGAATTTTCTAAGTACGTTAACATATAATTGTCAAAATTTATTACTTCTACCTTCTCTTATAAACAGGAAGAAAGCTAGAAATAGAGATGTGTTCTACCTTCTTCTTATTTAATTACATTTGTAGCTATTTTAATATAAGCTTTATCATTTAGGTGATAAAAATTGTCGAAATGTTTGTATTATTTTTATTTTAAGTGAGGATGTTTTAAGGGTGAGTTTGGTTAATTTTATTCAACAAACATTTGTTGAATATTCCATGTTCCAGGCACTGGTGATGCAGGGAAATAGACCAAAAATCCCTGTCTCATGAGACTTGTATTTTAGTAAGGATGTGTGTGTGTGTGTGTGTGTGTGTGTGTGTGTGTGTGTGTGTTTATATAAAATCTATTTTCCCATTAAATATTTTTATAGAGGCTTAGTTAGCTGAGAATAATAGGCACCAAATACCTAGCAGTAAAGCTAAGAGATAAAATGCAACTATTTTTTACCCATAGCTCATTGTTTGACTACTGTATATAAGCTATATACAGGAAAATAAGCATTTTATTAATTAAAAAGACATAATTATTAAAACTTTGTTTATATAAAGCTACAATTGTAGTAAGGATTACTGGGCATTTACTGTCCTCCTAGTAGGAGAGTACCTCTTCTTCAAGCTAAGCCAAGAAGGAAAGGATTTTTGAGAAGTAATGGAATGGCTTACTTAACATGTACCTCTTGAGAGTTTCTGGGAGCACTGATATGTACCTCTTAAGAGAGTTTCTGGGGGCCACTGGGAAGGAGGAGGTAGGCATACTTTGAGGCATTGTCACTCTTATTCAGGAATTTTTCACCTTTCTGGAGAACTCTCAGGGAGTTTTTGAGGAGGGTGAATGCCTCTCAAATTGGCACGTCTCCTTTCTCCAACCTTAGCCATCTGGGTACACCTCCAGATCCTTTCTATTGGCATCATTTTGCCCATCCATATCAGATGGGCTTCCTGACCAGAAGTACAAAGAATCTAATGACAAGATTTTCTTCTGATTCTAACCCAAACTTGATCCATGGGAAATTCTAACCCAATTTCTTATGCAAAATGTTCATGCAAAAAGTCTCATGCAAGAAGTCCAGACACCTCTGCTATGACATCAACCCAACTAGTAGCATAGTTTTTGAATTATTAGATGTGAATCAGGCACTATCCACTGGACCTTTCAATCTCCAAGAGAAACAGATTTGTTCTATGAATGATCTGGTTGTACATGTTTTCCCTTTACACTCCTTCAACTCACAGCATCCTATATTTTCTGTCTTTCATTGGCCTCCTCAATTTAATTATAGGCTGGAGCTGGATTGTCAGATAGAGGTGAAGCATGGAAAACCAAACATCATATGTTCTCACTCACAAGTGAGAGCTAAGCTGTGAGGATACAAAGGCATAAGAATGATACAATAAGGTTTGTGGACTTGGAGGAGAGAGTGAGTGGGGAGTGAGGGATAAAAGACTACAAATTGGGTCCAGTGTATACTGCTCGGGTGATGGGTGCACCAAAATCTCACAAATCACCACTAAAGAACTTACTCACGCAACCAAACACCACCTGTTCCCCCCAAAACCTGTGAAAATTAAAAAAAAAAAGTAATAGACAAGAACACACAGATACTGTACTGTGATAATTTGATTAAAGATTGCAATAGAATTGGCCAACATCTCAACAGAGTTACAGGATTGTCAAATTTTCTGAATTACCTCAACAGAGAGCCAATAATCTGAGTCTGGGAATGCTAAATGAAATCCATGCCTCCTACGTTTTAAATCAAAAACTAAAAAAGACAGATTTTATTTCAAAAATAAAAGTATTTTTCTGAAAACAAAAAGAATCTGGTTTAGTTACAAATTTTGTATTCTGGCACAGAGGTTACATAGCTCACTGTAGGTAATAGCGTAGAAACTAAGTAGAACACTTCAATTCTGGAACAGAACTATACCTTCTGTTACGGTTTGTATTAAGTTTCAAATAACCTTTTGTGAACTTTATCATTTTAATAACCAAATAGAGAGTAATAGTATGCCTGGTAGATGTGTGCTAATTATGTTGGGAACTTCTTATTTCAAAAACAGCAAGGTCACAGACACATTCTAGCCGGTTGACATGTCCCCTCTGCAATCCTATCTCTTTGATGTTCTCAGGTCTGAGAAGTCATCCTTATCTTGCCATTGTAAAAACATTATTCTAATATGCTAATTCTTTAGCATGGCACATAAGTGCTTTCTATTATTATCAAAATCTGATAATGTTCTTTTTTATTATTTATTTTTTTCAACAGGTGACTGTTAGCAGTGAACCTTCAATAATTTGTCTTCAATGCTTAGCATAAAACTTGACACAAATAGTAAGCACTAAATAGGTATTTCTGATTAAAGAGATTCATAATGAATGACTAAATTTTGTAATTCATCATGTGAATATGATACTTTCATCTACTATACTACTCCCTTGCACTTATGACTGCACATTTGTATCATTATTAGCAACACTTTGAGTATCCTCTTGGAATTTTTTTGCCTATATCTATGCTTGAATATTCAAATTGGTTCCTAAAATTGATCATTAATTATTTAGTACATACTTTAAAGGTTTTACATATGCACTTCTCGGAAGCCTCAATAACGTTATGAGTTACCTTTTAATTGATTGACTGAGAGATAAAAAATATCACCACAGGATGTGTTAATTTTATTTGGCTACTAGTAGGATAAATGTGCTTTTTATTTGTTTCATTGTATTTGTATATAACCATTTCAAAACTAGTGAACTGATTTTTTCATGGTATTTGTCCATTTTTCTCTTTGGATAGTTGTTTTCTTGCTGATTTATGAAATTATTTTATTTATTAGTAAGATATATGACTTGAACATATATGGCAAAGAATAATCTCACTAGTTGTTATAAATCTATTTTTTATGGTGACTTTAACTTTCAAAAATTTTAATTTGTAGGCAGTCAGGTCATGCTGTTTTGACTTTTAATATCTTAAAAAGGTTTTTCTTGCAACTTTTAAACATCACTTGTATTTATTAAATGCATGGTTTCTTTAACCCTTATATATTTTGTCTTATGGACATCTCTTTATTTCAATGTGTTTGGGTTGTTAGGTTAATTTATAACTTGAAACAAAAAAATACAAACACATATACACACAGGTGAACTCTTGGTGTACTCTTACAGTTTTACACATTTCCATTAGGCTAACCTGTTAATCAGTCATTCCAATAAGATTTCAGAATGTTATTTTGGGTATTCTGTCCAGTAAACCCTATGTATTTTTGCACGTATTATTTTGAGGATACTTAATATGACACACTACTACTTCTGCTTGCAGCACATTCTTGCGAGTATGTGATTAACTTTCCACTATTCTGTTAATTTTAGATTATGTCCTAAATTAATATACATTTGAATTTAAGGTTAAATGTGACTGGTTGACTCTTCTTGTCTGTGTTCTTAGCCCACCTGGTCAGTTTTCTCCATAACTGATTTTACTTCTTTAATAATAATACCAGGTACCATATGGGGATTATTTGTTGACTTTTCTATTCCCCAGTAGACTATGTGGTTGGGATGTGTTTTACTACTTTTCTAGTTCTAGAGAAGATATTCAGATAGTTCCATTGATTTCTTCACACTAATTTGAAAGACATACAACCTCCATTCGTAAGAAAGGATTGGTCCATGTGGAATAAGTGGAGTAAGAATATTTTAAAATCTCAGGGAAAAAGTAAATATAAATTATGCAGAAAAGTAAACATGTAATACCCTGGCAGGTTCAACAACTCAAGGAGGCTTACTCAAACATTAAAAGGGAAGGTCTTTGGGTACTACGCGGGCTAACTGATGGCTCCTCAGAATGAGCTACACTGTCTTTGCTTAGAGATGCTAAAATGAAAGCAAAATTTCACTGCATACTCCCTTCAGGGACTATATCCTTTCCCAAGATCTACCAAGTTAAGGATCTCTTCCATCCCCTATTTTGCGTTCCTTCTCTGACCTCAGAAATCATTTCTTGTCTTGGTAATGTAGTTTAAAATTGTGTTACTTTCTCAAATTTCACGTGTTTCTGCAAACATTTTATGGATATATGATGCTTTTGGCTTCTCTTAAGGTTGATGATGTTGAAACATGAAAGTTAAGAATCGATTCATATATTTTTTAACTTCTTTACGCAATTCTTTTCTGTACAATATCCTACTTGAGGTAATTCATACATAATGCCTCCGTGACTGAATGGGAAAATGGCTGCATAGTAGTGAGAGGTTTTGAGAACAAACTCACATTGACTGATCTTTCTAAATATTGCCCAACCACAGCAATTAGTAACTTCTAGTGTGTGTGTGTGTGTGTGTGTGTGTGTGTGTGTGTGTGAGAGAGAGAGAGAGAGAGACAGAGAGAGAGAGAGAGAAACATAGGTACCAAAACACACAAAAAACCTGTCCTTGTGTGGATCACATTCTGGCAGAATTTGGGCTATCATAGAACTTGACGTACTTATTCAACCTCCACTACACAAATGTTTATTTACTAAATTATTAATGTGTGAGTGAATTAAAAGTATTTCCCTTATGAAGTTCAAAATGTCAAATGGAAAATACATTTTATTACCAGCAAACCAAGTAAGAACTGTAAAATAAGTACATCAAGTGGTAAATAGAGCAATTTTTAAGTCTGCTGAGGAAAATGACCCAAGAAAGCTTCCCCAGAAGAGATGACATTAAGATGCACTTTGCAGAACATATACTTTTTTTCTTTCTGGAATGAGGGATGAATAAAGCAATTCTACATGTGAGAAAAGACATACTGTCATGAAGCATTTTGTCTCATATAAGACACAGAGATCATTATGGCATAAAAGAATAAAATATTCACTTGCCTCTCCATGTAACTCCTCTGTTATCTCCTTCAATATACCTTTAATACAGACAAACCTACACTTTGAATTCCTGAAATTTTCAGCAATTTCTTCTTGCATGTCTATGATAGATTCAAAAAATAATTTTCATTGTATTAAGCAAGATTTCTTGTTTAAAAATTACTTTCAGCTGGGCGCAGTGGCTCATGCCTGTAATCCCAACATTTTGGGAGGCCAAGGCTGGTGGATTACTTGAGGTCAGGAGTACAAGACCAGCCTGCTCAACATGGTGAAACCCCATCTCTACTAAAAATACAAAAATTACTCAGGTATGTTGGTACATGCCTGTAATCCTAGCTACTCAGGAGGGTGAGGCAGGAGAATCACTTGAACGTGGGAAGTGGAGGCTGCAATGAGGTGAGATCATGCCACTGCACTCCAGCCTGGGCAACAGAGCAAGACTCCATCTCAAAATAACAATAACAATAATAATACTTTCATTAAATAATTTTAAATATGTTCTCAGATAATAACCTCTGAGAATTTGAAAAGCTCTAAGATGGCAATTTTTTAGGGTTCTCTAATACAGAAAATTTGGGGAGTAATTCTAAAAATTCACACTTTGGGGGGTGTTTTCCATGTTTGTATTTTCTCAATCTCAGGGAACTTGCATTTCATATGTAAGACAAACACATTGAAAGCTATCCATCATAAAAGAGTTTTTCTCCAGTTGGAGAAAGTAGTGAAAATCCAAGAGAGAAGTAAAGTAGAATTTAGAGTTTGAAATTGCTTAGCTATTTGAAGACTGTCAGCTAATCTTGTGTCTTCAGAATATGGGGTGGGTATGAGAAGTAGTTACACATCTGGGAAGAAAAATTGAGAGCAAATTGTAAAGGGAATTTTTAGCACATTATTACACTTATTCTGTAGCTACAATTTGAGTAAATTAAAATTTTAAGAATTTGGAGTCCTGATCAGGACTACTGTCTGGAAATATGCATTTGAAGCAGATATAAAATAAATGTTTGAGTTTATGTTTACTCAGCTTCCAAGGTAACTACCTTGGGGTAGATGTTCTAAAGAAATATGGGCACCTTTGTGATCAACAGCAGTAGATGTAAGTATATAAAGCTCTCAACCCTGTTAAAAAAAATTGGACTGCTGTGACTGGCAATCAGGTCCAATGGTTAATATTAAAGTATTATCACCAACACTATTGGTCCAATGCTTTCATTAAAAAAAATTATGACAATTATACTATACTGAAATGACATTTGTATATAACATAACCTAATTCAATATATCATAGTATAAATTTTTAAAATATCCTGAAACATAGTATATTTAAATAATTGTAAGTGTCAGAGCGGGAGTGGAGTCACTATGTATGTGAGACAGAAGTGAATCGGAGAGTAGCTGAGAAGCAGCTATTCAAAATTGAAGCATATTCAAAATTGAAGCAACACTATGACAGATCCCATGTAGTAAAGCAGCAGAATTAAAATGTAACTATGAACAAAATACCATAAAAATGTGTATGCACACGTTGACAAAATCAGCTTATTAACTGATATTGAGATGAAGCCAAACAAAATTGAGAATAAATTTATAAAATAATTTAATTTGGATCTGGTTATGTTTGTATTTGTACATGTAAAGAAAAATTACTTTTATAGCTAGATCTATAGTCAGAATAATAGTAGAATTTTTGTTTCACGTTTTATAATAATCTGCAATTAGAAAAATTTAGATTCAGAATACAATTTCTAAGTTAGAGTAAAAGCTGTTATACAAGTGATAGAAAAAAATCCTAATTTATGAGAAATAGGAGACAAACAACTGCATTTATTTCTGAAGTTGATAATTCATTTTGAATTCCTTGACTTCAGCTGCAGATATTCAAAGCTTTTTAGATTTATGCAACTGACAAATATTGGATGAGAAAGAGGATTAATAATAGAAGTAAATTTTTAAGAAAATGTTAGTAAAATGAATGACACTATAAACTTATAAAAGTTTTTGTTTATATGTATTTGATGAAATTAAGAGATTTAAATTTAAAAGTTGAAAATTGTAGTCCAAGTAAAGTGAATTCAAAGAAAACTTTAACATAAAACTGAGTAAATATATATTTAGAGTATCATTCTATTTCTAGCTCAAATAAAAGGATTTTAAAAGTTTATATGGAAAACACAACACATGAAGCTGTTCTTCAGTGCTCACCAAGAAAGTGCAATTAGGAATAATGGGAGGAGATTTAGGGTAGTGCAATTAAGGTTACCTAAGAAGAAAACATTTTGTTGCTGAGAACTACTAGATTAGATTCTGGATTCTCACAGACAGAGCAGACACTTCCTCCCACGAGGAATGACTAGACATTACACAAAAGGGTTTATTAGAAATAGATTTTCTCTACTTGCAGGGAAATAGATTCAACGGTCTGATTCCCCCACTTATTTCCTTATATTCAATGAACCTAGGCCCGTAAGGTCTGATTTCCCACTTGCCTAAGTATTCAAAGAACTGAAAGAATTCTCAAATCTCTCATACTAAAGGATCATTGCTTTCTTCTCTATGTCTACTCTTTCATGTACTGCAATATTATTTAAATACTTATTTGAATATTCTTTCTAAATATGAAGAGAGTATACGTCATATGAGATTTTAAAAGATAGCAAGATGAGTTGAAAATTCGACATTCTAAAGTTTTTTTTCAGTTGTATATTTTGTTAAATATTCAGTCATAAATTCTAGAATACTATTGATAACTTAAAACAACAAAAAAAGCTCTTCCAGAAAGGATGCTTTATTTTGTTGAATGCTATTATTTCTACTTATGGTTGTTAAAATGGAAGCCATCTTTACAGTGTGAGGTAAGTAACCATGAGAATAAGTTAACACGTGGTATGAAAGACCAGAGAGATGAAAAGAAATAAGACTGCTTTTTAAGTTAATTACTAACTTATGTACTTGAAAGTTTTCTGCTAGTTGAAATCTAAGACAATCTAACTAAATACATTGTTTTACTATTTTCCAGCAATGATATACATGCAGAAACCATTTTTTTTCAGAATTTGAAATTAGAAACTTGCCAAAAATTTACTTAAAACTTTAAAGGGAACATAGAAGGGTTATTACACAAAGAAAAATATCTATGTCATTATGTTTATTCACAAAATATTATAGTTAAAATTATAAGTCATTTGAGAAATTACTGTGAGCTGATAGTAAGCTTACATTCTTTTTCAAACCATGGTTAGTAATTCCCTTAAAAAAATTTTAATGTTCTGAAATTTGTCTATTTGTATGTTATTTACAATCATACCTTAATGTCTTTGATCATGTAAAAATAATAATAGCATGTTCCTGAACACATGATTAAATACCTTTTAATATAATGCTAGTATACAATTTCAATTGTTTTATTTATTTTGTTGTTTCCTGTTTCTGTTTATGGTTAAGATTGAGGCTGAGTAATTTTATTTTAGTTGTATCAAGCTAATTAGGATATAGGGATTGAGGCGAAAACATATTTAAAATTCTAGGCTTAAATTTTTATTAAGCAGGAATTACAGAACTTTCTAAGAGGAGAAATTGAGTTCCATAATCATTAGATTTAAGTATCATAAGAAGCAGGCTTAGCTGTAAAGATTCTAACTATGTTCAGAAGAGTAAATTAAAATAATAATCCCAGATAATTTTTGAATCTGCTTAATACATACTATAAGATACTTTTGTAAAATATTATAATTTTCATTTTATCAAACAAGTTCTAAGTTAATAATAGTTTTGAAGCCCCCTCCAGCCCAGAATTTACAGAATTCCCAGGGAAAAATTACTATGTTGAGCTGCCTATGTACTTGGCTATCTTAGACAACTAGACTATGATTTCTTTTATTAAATTATGCTTTTCTCTTATTCACTTTTGAATAGTTAATAAATAGATGCATTAAGACATAAATTGCACTGGGCATTTTACAACTGAATCAATATTTGCTAACATGGGTTAAATAAAATTTCAGAGTTTTAATGGCCTTTTATTGACTTCAACAATAGTATAATATTGTTTTTAAATTTTGTATAATGTATAATTTCCATCATCAAAGACAAAGGAATCTGCTTCTTAAGTTTAGATAAACTTTTATCTGATCACTATTGTTAAAATCCTATAATAAAATACCAAATGAGAATTTAAAAAATCTTAATATTAATATTAAGCTTCTATAGAGTTATCAACTATTTAATATTTATAAATGTTTATTGATACCTTCCAAAATTTTTAAATTAAAAATACTTTTATATATATATTTCATCAATAAAAACATAAGTGACCCTAATTTTGCAATTTAAGTTGAGTCATGAGAAGCATCCTTGAAACTAGGGTAGATATCATTTCCATTGGCAAAACAGGTATGAAGGAACAGAAAAAGAAAATTTTCAGTGGAATAAGTAATGCTGACACTTTCTGTAGGAAGAATGATAAAGAATTTTAAAAGATATTTTGGATTTCTCAACTTGAAGTTATAGGTGGCCTTCAGGAAACAGACTCAGCATAGGCGGCATATGAAAAATTCAGTATTATAGTTCATAAATATGGATGGAGAGGAATAAAAGGTGAAGCAAGTATATACATATGTTTCCAAAAACTAGCGGTGAGTGAAAGGGAAAGAATCTATTCTCTTTCTTTCTTTACATCTATTCTGTAAGAACTTTGACTTCATTAATAGCTCCATTCTATCTTCTTTTCCTTCGGTCTGTCTTGTAGCTTCAGCATTTTTCTCTAAGCAAACCAACTCTAAATGTGCTAGATTGAAATGACCATCTTGAAATTATTCTCACTGCATTGTTTTTTACCCTATCCCTCACCTCTTGACACTTTATCTCTGCTCAATCTAGCGATATGTCTTGTCTTCTTCATTCAGAGTGGTAAGCATCAATAAAGGAGAACATAGCATGGTAAGATTTATTAGGACCCAGGAATTAGAAACTTTAGAGGAGCTAACTGCACCTCTTAGGAATAGAATTTGCTCCTTATCAACTCCAAAAGTCCTGCCTCTTATCAAACACTGTATCCCAGTTCTGCAGACTTTTCTATCAGTAAATGACTGAGCTTCCTATTTCACAGCAGAAATTGGGCTTGTCAACAAGGCAATGTTCCACCTTCCCATTTTGCCATAACTACTGAGGGCCTACTTTTCTCCAGGGCCTACTTTTCTCCAGGGTCTTGGTACAGAAATGTAAAGACCCTAGCCTAAAGCAATGTATGTGCAAATAGGAGAGACGGACAATGTAATCACAATAGAGTGGTGTGTAAGTTATATTGGTATATGCCGAAGTGCTTCAGAGACCTTTTACTTACCTGTATTCAGTAGACTAAACCTGACCTAGATCTTTAGGCCAAACTGGAGTGGCACAGGTTAGTACCAAGTGAAAAGTAATTCTAAACAGAGGGAGCAGCCTGAGTAGGTGTCAGAGACAGCACTTATCGTGGAATCATGGAGACGTCGAAGATTTGTTTTTCTCTAATAGCCAGTGATGATGAGCTTTTTCTCATATGTTTGTTGGCTGCATAAATGTCTTCTTTTGAGAAGTGTCTGTTCATATCCTTTGCCCACTTTTTGATGGGGTTGTTTGATTTTCTCTTGTAAATTTGTTTAAGTTCTTTGTGGATTCTGGATATTAGAACTTTGTCAGATGGACAGATTGAAAAAACTGTCTCCCACTCCGTAGGTTGCCTGTTCACTCTGATGACAGTTTATTTTGCTGTGCAGAAGCTTTTTAGTTTAATTAGATCCCATTTGTTTATTTTGGCTTTTGTTGCAATTGGTTTTGATGTTTCAGTCATGAAGTCTTTGCCCATGCCTATGTCCTGAATGATATTGCCCAGGTTTTCTTCTGGGGTTTTTACGGTCTTAGGTCTTAGGTTTAAGTCTTTAATCCATCTTGAGTTAACTTTTTTATAAAGTGTAAAGAAGGTGTCCAGTTTCAGTTTTCTGTATATGGCTAGCCAGTTTTCCCAACACCATTTATTAAATAGGGAATGCTTTCTCCATTGCTTGTTTTTGTCAAGTTTGTCAAAAATCAGATGGTTGTAGATGTTTGGTGTATTTCTGAGGCTTCTGTTCCATACCATTGGTCTGTATATCTGTTTTGGTACTGGTGCCATGCTGTTTTGGTTACTGTAGCCTTGTAGTATAGTTTGAAGTCAGGTAGCATGATGTCTCCAGCTTTGTTCTTTTGGCTTAGGATTGTCTTGGCTATGTGGGCTCTTTTTGGGTTCCATATGAAATTTAAAGTAGTTTTTTTTTTTCTAATTCTGTGAAGAAAGTCAATGGTAGCTTGATGGGGATAGCATTGAATCTATAAATTACTTTGGGCACTATGGCCATTTTCATGATATTGATTCTTTCTATCCATGAGCATGGAATGTTTTCCCATTAGTTTGTGTCCTCTCTTATTTCCTTGAGCAGTGGTTTGTAGTTCTCCTTGAAGAGGTCCTTCACATCCCTTGTAAGTTGTATTCCTAGGTATTTTATTCTATTTGTAGCAATTGTGAATGGAAATTCACTCACAATTTGGCTCTCTGTTTGTTTATTATTGGTGTATAGGAATGCTTGTGATTTTTGCAAGTTGATTTTGTATCCTGAGACTTTGCTAAAGTTGCTTATCAGCTTAAGGAGATTTTGGGCTGAGACACTGGGGTTTTCTAAATACGCAGTCATGTCTCCTGCAAACAGAAACAATTTGACTTCCTCTTTTCTTATTTGAATACACTTTATTTCTTTCTCTTGCCTGATTGCCCTGGCCAGAAATTCTAATACTATGTTGAATAGGAGTGGTGAGAGAGGGCATCCTTGTCTTGTGCCAGTTTTCAAAGGGAATGCTTCCAGTTTTTTCCCATTTGTTTATTAAAAACATTTGTTTTTGACCAGTGGTAGGGGCTATAAGAACTGAGAGATGGTTACAAAGGCGTGAAGACAAATATGAGAAAGTATTATAGAAATAATGACTTTTTACATTTAGGAGAACAAATGAAAGGTAGAAAAGTCAAATAATAAACAAGAAAATGTCCCTTTGGATTTATCTACCAAGAGCCATTGATTGATTTGGCAATAAGATACCAGTGTGGCCACCATAAATGCACAGGGCAGATTACCTGGAATGAGAAAGAATAGCATATAAGGAGCCGTCAAGTCTTTCAAGAAGCTTGGTTGACAAAATAAGAACCAGGTAAAGAATAGCAGCTAGATGGGAATTGGAATGGGACATATTTGTCTACCTTTCTCCTTTCAGTTAAGGAGCCACATTTTCCTCCATCCCATGTGTTACAGGTATGCTAGTCAGATGGGGACTCATGTAGCCCAAGTAAGTCAAGGGGTTTTTTAGGGAATTCTTTGGCTTTGTGGCAAATTAACAATTTTTAATGTAGTTAGATACTACAAGAACTGGATTTCTCTGACTCTTCCAAAATCTGTCTTCTCATTCCTGTGGGGAGAGACCACAGATACAAAGGAAACACATAGACAATAAAGATTAAGAGAAAACAGAAGACAAATTTTCAACATTGGGGTTATAGCACCTGACATCTAACAGAACCCAAATGCAAAACGCTCTCTAAAATTCAGTTTGTGAGCCAACAAATTTACATCATGATTCAACTGGCTGAATTGCATTTCTGTTATATGGAACTAAAAGGTTCCTGATAAAAGTAGGTGTTTACATTCCAATGAAAAAAGTTGTAAACGGTTAAGAAAAACTCTCCTTCTGTTCAAAACTAAATATTTCACTTCTGCCAGACTCCTTTTATATTCTACCTTCTGAGTGAGTCTGAACCACCAGTGTTTCTCTTCATTTGTTCCCATTTTAATTTTACTCTTGTAATAGTTCCACTGAAATACAGCACACATAAAGGGAACAAAACATAAAAGTACAACTCAATAACTTTCCACAGTGTGAACAACCACATAACCTCCTTTTTTACACAAAAGTAACCACCATGCTGATTTCTCACCATATATTTTATTTTGCCCTTTTTTTGAACTTTTTATAAATAGAATCATAAAGTGTGCATCCTTTATGTCTGAGTAGTTATTAGAGACCCAGGTATTTGGGGTAATCCACTTCCTAGTTTCCATGACTTTGGGATAATGCTGGCCAGTGGGTTGTGATCAGAATATCATTTTTGAGAAGAGCCTTTACATAGACAGCGTAAGACATGCCAGGGCTTTTATTTATTTATTTATTTTTGTCATGGACCTGTGAGTTTCACTTAGTGAGCACATGAAATAAACCTTTGGTAAACTAATGAGTTACAGAGTTATTTGTTATTGCAACATAATGATATTTTCTAATAGAAGCATCCATACTTGTAACCTGGCTACACCACTTGTGTTTAATTAATGATTGTATGGTATATCTCTTCCCATACTTTTATTTCAAACTTACTATATTCTATTAACTTATGTTTCATCTTTAAGACACATATTAATGGGTTCATTTTTAAAAAATTGAATCTGACAAATAGACCTTGTTTGAAAGTCAATTTCCACTTAAAGAATTTAATGATATAATTGGTTTTGAAAATAATTTTTCTTTATGTTTTCCAATTGCTTTTTTTTAAACAAGGTGTTTTTATATTCTCACTTTGTTTTTACTTTCAATTATATTTTAATACTTTATTTTGTGTCTCTATTAGTTTATTAATTTATAATTGCAAAACCTACCCTTTACTGGTTGCATTAGACAGTAGGACATGCACATTTGTTTTATTAAAGATTATGCTAAATTGATGAAATTTCATCTGAAGTCTGTTTTTCATATTGAAGAACATCAGCAAGTCTGAGGCGGACAAAATGATTCCATTTTTTTTTTCCCAAAATATCTTAACTTCTCCTTCATTTTTAAGTCACATTTTCAGAGAATGTAGTAGTAGTCACTTTCTCTCAATATTTTAAAAATATTCTATTGCCTCCTATTCCAATGTTTCTGTTGAGAGGTGAGCTGTGGGCTAAAGAAGCTCATGGGTTTTTCTATGGCTGCTTTTAAGATTTTATTTTTTATGTGGCTTTTAGAAATTGAACTATAATTCAATAGACAGAGAGATAGATAGATAAAGAATTTATTGAATTTTTTGAAAATATGGGTTGCTTTCTTTCATCAGCTATGGAAAATTCTCAGCAATTATCTCTTTAAATATAGCTTCTATTCTATTTTCTTTTTTGGCTTCTTTTTGCAATGCACATAAACATATTTTCACCTTCTGAGTGTATGCTCTGTGTCTTTTCTACATGTTCTGGTATCGTGTGTCATGTACTTTCATCATGGTTTATATTTACTCTTTACTGGAATATGTTCCAGATTTTTAATTCTCTCTTTGGCTGTTTTTTGGTTGATTTTTTGTTTTTATCTGCCTTTAAACCTATCTAGTGCATTCTTACTTTCAGTTTTTGCGTATTTCTGTACTAAAATTGCCTTGTTGTCATTTCTCATTATTTGTAGTTTCTTTGAAAAATCTCTACCTAGCATTTTATTTTATTCAACATATGTAACATTGCACTTTTAAGATCGATGTTTTAAATTCCATATTTTGGCCTGGCACAATGTCTCAGACATGTAATCCCGGCATTTTGGGAGGCCAAGGTGAGCAAACGGCATGAGCTCAGAAGTTCGAGACCAGCCTAGGCAACATAGTGAAACTCTATCTCTATGAAAAATAAAAAATTAGCCAGCTGTGGTGCTGCACCTGTAGTCCCAGCTACTCAGTAGGCTGAGGTCGGAGGATCACTTGAGCCCAGGAGGCAGCGGTTACGGTGAGCCAGGGTCACTCCACTCCACTCCAGTATGGGAAACAGTGAGACTCTGTCTCAAAAAATAAATAAATACATAAATATATTTCGTGTTTTGACTCACTCTCAGGTATACTTCTATTTCCTATTGTTTCTCTTGATTTTAAGGTAAACTTTATTAAGATGTGACTTACATACTATCATATTTTTTCAACTAAGTACACAAAGATACTTTTTGACAAATGTATTTAATCATGTAACCACCACCACACACACCAAAAATAACACTTTCACCATACTGATAAAAAGTTCTCTCAGTACCCTTTTCTGTCAATTTTTCTCCCTCTTGTCAAAAACTTACCTGTTTATAGTCATGTAATTTTGCATATTCTGTGATTTCATATAAATAGAATCCTGGAGTATCTAGCATTTTGCTTCTGGTTTCTCTGACTTATTACAGGGGGTTTGATATTCATCCATGTTGTTGGATTCACCCATAGTCTGCTTGTTTTAAATATTGAATAGTCAATACTTGTATATCTGTCCTACAGTTTGTATGCTAATTCATCAGTTTATGAATAATTGTGTTGTTTCTAATTTGAGCTATGTATTAGTTTGCTATGACTGCCATGACAGAATACCACAGACTGAATGGCTTAAACCAAAAATATTTATTTTCTCACAGTTCTGAAAGCAGGAAGGCCAAGATAATGGTCCTGGCGGAGTTGATTTCTGGTGATGTTTCTCTTCTTGGCTTACAGAGCGCCCTTTTCTTGCTGTACACACATGGCCTTTTGTCTGTGTGCATACTTCTGGTATCTCCTCCTCTTCTTATAAGGATACCTGTCCTGTTAAATTAGGGCCCCACTTAAAACTTCATTTAACTCTAATTGCCCCTTTAAAAATGCTGTATCCAAATTGATTCACATTATGGGTTACAGCTTTAACAAATAAATTTTGGAATGAATAATTCTGTCCATAACAAGCTATTATGAATAAAACTGATAATAACTTTTCATATAAGTATTTGTGAAAACATATCTTTTCATTGCTGTTGAATAAATATCTAGAAGTAGAATTCCTGTATCATAATATAAAGGTAGATTTAACCTTATAAGCAATAGTTTCAGTGATTTACAGAGTGGCTATATCATTTCCACACAGCCATGAGAACGAATGAGAATTTTAGGTGCCCCAAAATGCCAATACTTAGTATATCAGGTTTTCTAAATTAATCATTATGATGAGTATATAGTGGTTTAATTTCATTGTTTCTAATGATTTCTGAGCTTCTTGTCTATCTATTTACTTTCCTTTTTTGTGCGATGTCCACATTTATTGTCGTATTATCAAATTGTTTATCTTTTTGTTATCGAGTGGTAATTACTTTTAATATTCTGAATACAAGTTGTTTATAGACAAAATATATGTAAATATTTTCTCCCTCTATATTGCCTGCCTTTTTAAACAGTGCGTCAGAAAGCAATAATTATTATTATTTTGATGAATTTTAATGTAACGTTTAAAAAATTTTATTCCTCCTGTTTTTGTGCCCAGTTTAAGCTATCTTTGCTTATCTCAAGTCCTGAAACATTTTTTCTCATTTTATATTTTTCTTCAGAAGTTTTATATTTTAAGATGTTATGTTTGTATGCATTATCTATTTCAATTAAATGTTTGTATATCACATAGAAGAACTTGAGTTTTTTTTAAATATAGGTACCCAATTTTTCCAGTACTGCCTTTAAAAACACTTTCACTTTTTTATTGAAGTATCTTCACATTTGTTGAAAGACAGTTGAACATATATGTGTGTATCAATTTCTAGAAGTTTGGTTGTGTTCCATTTATCATTTATATATCTCTTGCCAATATCACACTGTCTGGATTATTGTAGTTTTAGAGTAAGAGTGAAATCTGGTAGAATGAATATTCTAACACAGTTGTTCTTTTTCAAGTTTGTTTTAGCTATTCTACTTACTTTGCATTTCCATGTACATTTTAAAATTAACTTACCAATTTCTGTAAATTAGCCAGCTAGGGCTATAAATGGGGCTGTGTTGAATCTGTAGTTCAATATGAGAAGATTTGAAGTCTTGATATAACTGATTACTCTAATGCAAAAGCATCAGATATTGTTCCATTTAGTTATGATTCGTAATGTATCAGTGATAGGTTATGGTTTTCACCTTACAAGTATTGATTCAAACACTCATCGTGGAAAAGTTTTATATATGATATAACATTTTTACCCAAAAGACCCTGATTTTAATTATAAAGTTTTAGATACAGTATCCCATTGAGTGTAATGCATGAGAGACATTAACCAAAAATATATTGTAAAATCCTAAAAATTAAAAAAATACAATATAAAATTCAGTGTATTTCAAGTTGTCTCTAACATAAATGAATTTGACCACCTAAAACTTGTTTCTTCCCCATCCTAACATCGTATGACCTTTTCCTTAGCTGTGTAACCTTATAAAAGATGGATTACCATTCCTCCACCCAATTTCTCTGAAGAAACAAGGACAAACATCTTTTTATATTCTAATTTTATTGATTATCTCTTTTTATTTAGGGCTCTTTCAGTGTCTTTATTTTCAACATACTGGATTGGTTCAAGAAACAATGATTTAGATGATTATATACATAAACCAACAGAATACTAACAAAGTTAAGACAGCCAAAGTTAACTTTTATACTTGAAGGTAACAGTTCACAATTGCAAGCGGTTAGGTTTTAGCAATCATAAATACACGCCTCAATATAAAATTGTAAAATAATAATGCCCTAATGCTATGCAAAGAATATTATAAATAAGATTTTCAGAGATATACAGTTTCTTTAAGAACTTAGGTGGTAATAAAGATTACATGCCTTAGAAAAATATTTCACAATGTAAAAGTTAGCTCTCGTAATAAAAAAGACAGTGCCAAAAATTAATGTAAAAAGTTTGTGTAAAATGTTTATATGAAATGTAAAAATAGATAAAAATAATATTGCCAAATTATTTATAGTTCCATATACATAATGTGCATAGATATATCTAAATTAAAAAATAAATTGTTATAGACATTTGTCCTATTAATCCATTTTCCAAAATTTGCATAATCTAATTGGGAAAATGGAAAATCAACTGTATTCTTCTATAGTAATCTTATATTCCATAATGCATATTTAATATATTTCTATGCTTAAATACAACATTTATTTAAAACATCTCATATCGCTTAATAATGTACAAAAAGTATACTGGAATTTTATCAATTAAATGCTTGTTTTTATACGGAGTAACAATTCTCACTATATCCAACTAGAATTTTTGTTTCCTCCATCAATAACTAAAATTAAGAAAGACAAGGAAAAAGGCAAAAAATGTGGCTGTCTGATTAGTAATACGTAAACAAACATTCATCAAGATCTCTGACTGTCCTGGAAAAAAAGTGTGATACGTTAACAATCTTCTTTCTGTAAATCATAGTGGACATATAATGTATCGGTGTTTCACTCAGCGTTTCATTTTTGGTGTCAAAATTTCTATTTCTTTAGCTTACTTGGGAGATTCTTTATGGAGTGAAGCTCATTAATTCTGCGATTTTTAAACACCTACTAAAATATAATATAAATGGATACTTTCCATAAGGAAAGCATTTTCAGAGCAAATACTCTCAAGGCTATAGCTATATTTGTTCCATTTTGGGCCTCATTATGAAATTCATGACTTCTCTCTTCAGGAGGCCAAATGCCCTCTAACACATCAAAATTAATCAGACATACATGTTTGATTAGTTCCACCGCCACAGCTGCAGGACATCCACCTTGCCACTGCACAGTTTGTCTTTTAATCCTTTCTGCGCTGTGACCTCACTTTTCCCTTTTGGGGAGTCTGAAATAACAACACTCTTAACTGAGGCCTCTAAAAAAGCAAAAAAAAAAAAAATTCATTGTGGCTTTAGCATTATTACATTAAAAATTATTTTTAATCTGACTCATTTTATAATGTATAATAGCTCTGCTAGCTTTTCAAGATTTAAGTACACTGAATTGTATTCCTAAACAAAAAACTGCAAAAAAAGTTTTAAAAAATGTTTTTGTTCTTTTTTGCAGTGCTGATTTGATGTGACAAACTATGACATCGATGTCTCTTCTTTGTATACATTGTGAATATTTCTGTTTTGGTTAGATCTTAATTACAGTGCACACGCATCTGACATCGCATCTCTATTTCCTGAGAACTGTAATTTTGCTGTTCACTTTTTGCGAGATTTTCTTCTGTTTATTTGTGTGTTCCCTGTCCTTTGTTATAAACTGCTACTGCTTGGTTTGTTCTGGACATCCGTGCCCTCATTTTTTATGATTTAATAGATGTCGTCCACTTAGTGTTTGAATCTTCAGGGACTTTGTGTGTTGTTTTAACACAAGATGATGAACAACCTCTGGGACACCATGAAAACCTAACCCTTTTTATGTCTCCATTCCCAGAGAGCTATTTTTCACTTTTCTTTTAAATCACAATTCTGTTTTTATTAATCCGTAACCAAAAATATGCAGAAGCATCATACGGATGTCTAACAATGACAAATGAATGGATTATTACTATTTTGATGCCAATCACATATCTTGTGACTCTTTTTCTTTTTTGAGAGAGAGAGAGATTTGGCCAACATTTAATATTTATGCAGCAACAAGGACATTTTTCATTTATATATATACGTATATATATAAAATACATATTTATAAATGGTAATCACATATAACTATTCAGAAATGAACACACTCACATTAAATAGAGCAACATAATTATTTTAAATCGGCATGCTAATTAGCAATAGATAATGTGACATTTTTGACTGCTTATCAATATGTGTCTTTTTTTATGGTTTCTTTATAAAAGTTCCAACACCTCTATCTTTCTCTTATTGCGTATCTTACAAAATGTGGAACAATTTGCAGAATATTAATATCATGTCTTAAGTATTGCCTTAAATGGTTTGTGGGATATTACTTGATATTCACCTTCTTGATAGATAAGATTCATCATTGGCAGCAAATAATTAAAGGTAAAAAAAAATGCCTAAGATTAACAATTTTCTAAATTTAAAGAATAGAAAAAAGGCCAGGTGTGGTGGTTCACGCCTATAATCCCAGAACTTTGGGAGGCCGAGGAGGGTGGATCTCCTGAGCTCAGGAGTTCCAGACCACCCAGGGCAACATGGCAAAACCCTATATCTAATAAAAATAATTTTTAAAAAATCTAGCCGGGCGTCCTTGCAGGCGACTGTAGTTCCAGCTACTCGGGAGGCTGAGGCACAAGAATTGCTTGAGACCCGGAAGCAGAGGTTGCAGTGAGCCGAGATCGTGCCACTGCACTCCAGCTTGGGCTACAGAGTGAGACTCCATCTTAACAAACAGACAAACAACAACAAAAACAAACAAACCAAAAAGAGTGGAAAATACATCTTCCCCCAATTCACCTGAACTTTAATGAACAGTCAACATGGCCTTCTTGTATAGAAGTGGCACAGTTGTCGCCTTAGAAGAATCAGGAATTCCTCCCTGCATTCAGGGAGGAGCATGTTCGCTTGTTGTGTTTGTTTCACTATTTGACTCAAATATTACAATTACTACAGTAATTAAGACTAATTATCTCAAGTCCAATTACATCGACAGCATAAATTTTTACCTCATACAGTCCAGTTTCAGTATTGAAAATAAAATCAGTCTGGGCACAGTGGCTCACGCCTGTAATCCCTGCACTTGGGGAGGCTGAGGCGGGAGGTTTACGAGGTCAGGAGTTCGAGATCAGTCTGACCAACATGGTGAAACTCCGTCTCCACTAAAAACACAAAATTAGCCGGGCGTGGTGGCACATGCCTCTAATCCCAAGCTACTCGGGAGGCTGAGGCAGGACAATGGCTCTAACCCAGGAGGCGGAGGTTGCAGTGAGCCAAGATCAAGCCATTGCAACCCAGCCTGGGCAACAAGAGGGAAACTCCAAAAAAAAATAAAAATAAAAATAAAAAGGATTAACTCTAGTTGACTCCAAATTTATGCTGCAGCCATACTGGTAACTTCTTAGAAACAGTTAGCAATAATCTGTGAAATACTGACGGCCTTGGAAAACAGTTGGACAAAAAAGAAAAAAATCAGCACCTTTGTTAAAAGGAATTTAAAAAAAGAAATATTGGAGACCAAGGGGAACATTTAATTCACCATAAAATAATTTCATTTTTATTCATTTTGAGCAAAGTTTTTTCAGTTGCATAATACCAAAAGCAAAATAATAATAATAATAATAATAATAATAATAATAATAAAACTTTGTCCTTCATTACCAAAATTCATTCAAATATTACTCACTACATGACAATTTATAGTTTCTAAGGTGGGGACATACCTTTCAAACACAAACTGCAATTCTCTTTCACATGTGATTATAAGAAAATTACATCTTTCCATAAATTTAATAATGTTTAGATTACAACGCCTTAAAAATATGGTCCTATAATCTTCTAGTCTAAGGAACAACAATGAACATTAACAATAGTAGCAACTAAATAAGACAGAGAATTGAGTCTGTAATCCCAGCACACTGGGAGGTCGAAGTGGGAGGATCACCTGAGGTCAGGAGTTGGAGACCAGCCTGGCCAACATGGTGAAACCCCATCGCTATTGAAAATACAAAAATTAGCCAGGCATGGTGTTGGGTGCCTGTAATCCCAGCTACTCGGGAGGCTGAGGCTGGAGAATTGCTTTAGCCTGGGAAGCAGAGGTTGCAGTGAGCTGAGATAGCGCCATTGCACTCCAGCCTGGGCAACGAGAATGAGACTCTGTCTCAAAAACAAACAAACAAACAAACAAAAAAAACACTGGCTAATATTATTTCCTTGGTTCAAAATTACTTAGTGTTAGAGGCATGCAAAGGATAAATGTTATTTAATGTGGATACAGATTATGAATATTTCATATTCATAAAATTCAGCAAATTGTTAATATTATTAAGAGTCTAGTTTAGAGATTGTTCCAGAGGTGATTCTGTTTGTGGGTATAAAAAAATTACTGTATGTTAAAAATTAAATGCAGTTTTTAATTTTTATCATATTGCTGCCTCCCAGGCAGCCACAACATTTTGTTATCATTGTATATTTTTCATTGTAGTAGCCAAATTATCATGTTAAACACTACCTATATAGAAATGCTATCTGTAGTATTTCAGTCTATGTATTAACTAATATTGTCAAATAAAGTCATGGTTTAGAAATGTTTAGAAATGTTAGAAAAATCTAGAAATGTTATGAAAAAAGTTTGACAAATGCATCTAAATAATCTTTTCTCTCCTATGAACAGAACATTCAGAGTATTTTTACCACAGAAAAGATAGAATCATTCTGTCTCATCATTCTTAACAGAAACACACATGGAAGAAACTTCAATTTCTTATACGACTAAAGAGAAGACATTTTATTCAAATTCTGTCTTAACTATACATATAGTACATTTGGACTTGACTATTCATATGTCATTATTTAAGAAATGATAATCCAATTCAATTATAATTTTATTATTTATTCTGAAATATATATTATTTAACAAATGGAAGGAGTCCTATAAATCATCTAGCCTAATAATATTGGTTTATCTATAAGAAAGTCCAAAATCTTAAGTCACTTTTATAAGGCCATCTTAGCCCATTAGGGCTCCTATAACAAACCATCATAGACTAGGTAGCTTACAAACAACAGAAATTTATTTCTTACAGTTCTGGAGGCTGGGAAGTCCAAGATTTCAGCATCCTCTTTTAGGTTGCAGCATCCTCACTGTGTCCTCATGTGGAACATTTCCCATAATCGTCTCTCAAAAGGCCCCACTTTCTAATATTATCAGCTTGGTGATTAATATTTTAACATAGAAATATGGGGGGAGCAGGGTACAACATTTAGATCCCAGAAAAGTTAATTAGTGGTGCAGGATTGGAAACAGACCTCTTAATTTCTAACTGAGAAAATAAAATTAGATGTTTTGGAATCTGAACATTACATGTGTAAGAGCTAATGAGTAGAAGACAGGCTACTGGATCATAAATTCATGTGAAACACAAAAAGTCTCTGTGACATTGTTACCTACTGATGGGAGATTGTGGTAGGCACTGGTACCGCCCCCCAATAAACAAGATGTCCATGTGCTAATCCTTGTCATCTATGAATATGCCATGTTACATGATGAAGAAGGCATTAAGATTGCAAATAGAACTAAGGTTACTAATCAGCTTATCTTGAAACAGAGTGATTATCTTGGATTATCTGAGTGGGCAAATGTAATGGCAAAGTGTCCCTGAGAGACGTAAGAAAGAGAACCAGGGAAATGCCAGTGTGCGAACTAGATTCACCTTGCTGGCTTTGAGGATGCTGCAAGGTTGCCACAGATCAGTAAATGCAGGTGGCATCCAGCAGCTGGAAAGGCTGGTAAAAAGATCTTCTCCTCTGGAAGGAGAAAAGCCCTGCTGACATCCTGATTTTAGCCCAGTGAGATCCACTTTGGACTTCTGACCTCCATACGATAAGACAATCAATTTGTGCTGTGTTAAGCCACTATGTTAGAGGTGATTTATTAAACCACCAACAGAAAATTAAGACAGAGATGAAAGAAAAGTTGAATTAGAAGTAACTGAGAGGTTTTTAACTGAAGTAATTGGCAGAAAAATGAAAGAGGCAGAAAATATAGAAGAGGTCTTGAGAGATAAATGTCTTAGCATTTTCAGTTTGAGAAAAAGAAGGATGATTAAAATAGAAACCTTCAATAGAAAATAAGTTTAAATAGGTATTAAACTCAGACACGGGCATTGGAAGTGGAATCTAGGTTTAGTCCTTTTAAATATTAATATGGAGGTGACAGCTGAAGTCTCAAGGTAGTACTTCTTTAAAGGAAGGAGAAAAAAATAGGAGAAACAGGGCATCTGATCATAGGCCAAGAGCCAGAGGTAGATATCTATATCATCAATATCTATCTGTCTGTATCTCCACCTTTCTCTCTCTCATAGATCTAGCTATTAGCTGCATATGAGATCATGTGCTATTCCCAACAACATAAAAGCATGATAATAATTTTTCTAATTTAAATTTTAGTTAGAATTTTAATTTCTAATAAATTATTATTTGACCATATTCCTAAAATGAAGCCACCATGCTCACCCATGACATTCATCTTAAATTAGAAGACCTGCAAACAGCCTAAATTGAACCCCTCTGTGATTTTATAATTGAAAGTGAATGTCTTATCAAGACTTGTCTAGACTTTTAGCATGTATGATGCTAAATTGACCTTTATGTAATCAGCACAGCATGCTAACCTTAGCTCTATGCATTTTCCTACTGTATCTGGATGTACTAGAATGTCCATGAATCTAAGTCCTGAGCAGCCTCTTTTCTAGATATAGCTTGTATTGCTTAATATTTGTGCTCTATGTCCCTGAACAATTAGTTTTTTACTAATTAGACTTTGACAAAGATTTTATTTCAGAAGAATCAGACAAAAACACAGTTTATTTATTATTTGGAGGAGACTGTATCAACATATAAATCTTGGAAATTTTTGTAAGTGAACAATTAAGATCTGCTTAGAATAACAAAAATCAAAGCTGAATAGGCATGTAGTTTGGCTAAGTTTATATTTATAAATGGCAATTAGAAGAAAATGTTGAAGTTAACATTTTTGTTTAACACATTTTGTGAAATAGCTTTTTAGCTAACAAACAAGACCTGTTTTATACACACAGTGAAACCAAACCACACTTTAATAGAATGATGCCTCCCTTAAAAACATTAATCTATAGAATTAGTAGGGATTATTGCACTAACATGCTTATATTTTTCATATAGGAAACGGAACCTAGAGATGATTCAGAGTTTGTTCTTTTGAGAATTGAAACTTAAAATCAAAGTAATATCAAACAAAATGGCTTTCAAATATATTAAGGCATGCTCTTTAATGTATTGAAATATAGAAACTTGAATTATATTTAAAATTTGTTTTGAGGTGGGAAGATTTTTCAGTGAGTGGTCAGGCAAGCAATTGCTTTCACACTGAACACTAAGGAAAGATTATAATACAAAGGTCTTCAGTTATGTGACAATAACTTGGAATCAATGATGGTTGAAATGACATTTGGTTTTCCATCTTCATTAAAAAGAAAGCATGAAAAGATTATATATTTTTAGTATAGCAAAATGAAAAACAGCATAGGTATAGAGATATACTAACGTGGGTTTGAAACACAGCAAAGGCATTTATTGTCTGTGCAATCTTCAAAATCATGGTCAGCATGTATTTTATCATCTGTAAAAAAGGCTTATAAAACCTACTCCATCCACTTATTATAAATTAAATAATGAAATAAATATAATTAATTTAATAAACCTGTCATAGTGTCAAACATACAGTTAATGCTATTACTATCATTACATAAATGATCACTTTCAAAATGTATTTGTCTTTATTGATCATATATATATTCATGTGAAGTGTATGCATGAGAATGCTAAAATATAATATTAACATTTAAAATATATTTAACTATATCAATGTAATTCACCTATTAAATTATTGTAATGATATTCTGAAAATTCTTACGCAGATTGAAAATGTGCCTGCCTTAAAATATGCTCCTTTTGTGAAGAGACTTTAGTTGTCAGGGATATTATTTGACTGCTTTTACTAGAGCAAACAGAGTATTAAACATATCCACTCTTATCTGAGGCTTTAGGAAAGGACAGATTCTTCCTGTCACCTAGAGTCTGATCACTATTTAGGAAAAAAAAAAAGTTTAAGCAGGACATTGGGTTAGCAGAAAGACTGTGATACTTCACTGGCTTTACTCAAATCTCAAATTGGCAAGATCAACTAGGGCAGCAGACAAACACTAATAGAGCAAGAGAGAATGACTGAGTTCAGGTTTGAGGTGCCAAATTAAATCAATCCATGACTGCTACCAAGAGGAACAGCAGAAAATAATCAGAGGGATAACACAATCTGGGTTTTAACTGCTGTTTTGATACCCTATTTAAGGTGATATCTAACTTACTGTAGCCTCCATCTCAAATGATTTTAAGTGTTACTATCAATAATCAGTTTGGTTTCATAAGGCTGAATTTAGTTTGGGGGTAAAATGCCGTGTATTTCAAAGCATCGCCATCTTATGGTGATAACCTAGAACTACATCTGAGAGTCTTCCTTATCAATGTTACACCTAGTTACACCGAGCATGAACTCACAAATACTATAAGCAGGAGAGACAAAACCCTTTGGCAAAATAATGTTTTTACTTAATATTGTTGCATACGCATAAAAAATTCATTTTTTCTTTCAAAATACATTTAAATAGATATAATTGCTTTCCTACCTGAAGGTACAGATGTGCAATATATTGAGGATGAGTTATTAGATATGAAAAGCTGAGGGGGAGGAGTTAGCTAAACTAAAGAGTAGACTAAATCACATAAACATCTTTTATCCAGATGTGGAATGTGGAGATCAATAATCCCTTGTTGTTTTCTACTATGTATTTTTGAAACTAATTTAACTATGTATGCCCGACTGCATAATTCTACAGAAGACAAGGGTCTTTTTGTTTTTTTCTACTCCATACAGTCTCTTGTACTTTCTAAGTGATCAAATATATCTATTAGAAAATGTCTATGTATTCTCTACTGACATTCACACTGTCGGACACCATTAAACAAAAATCACTAGAGAAACACATGGCCTCAAATTTGGTGTCATGATAAATATATGTTTTTGTCTTTCAATGAGATCTTCAATGTTTTATCTCAATTCTTATAGATTGGTTTGGCCGGTTCTTTCTCCCATTTTCTATTTTTTTCTTGATTTCTTCTAAAAAAATGATACTTGTGAAGGTTTGTTACATAGGTCTACGTGTGCCATGGTGGTTTGCTGCACCTATTGGCCCGTCCTCTAAGTTCCCTACCCTTACCCCCAACCCCTAAACAGGTCCTGGTGTGTGTATTTCCCCTCTCTGTGCCCATGTGTTCTCAATTTTCAACTCCCACTTATGAATAAGAACATGTGGTGTTTGGTTTTCTGTTCCTGTGTTAGTTTGCTGAGGATGATGACTACCAGATTCATCCATATCCCTGAAAAGGACATGATCTCATTGCTTTTTATGGCTGCATAGTATTCCATGGTGTATATTACCACATTTTCTTTATCCAGTCTATCACTGATGGGCATTTGGGTTGGTTCCAAGGCTTTGCTATTGTAAATACTGATGCAATAAACATATATATGCATGTGTCTTTATAGTACAATGATTTATATTCCCATGGGTATATACCCAGTAATGGGATTGCTGGGTCAAATGGTATTTCTGGTTCTAGATCCATAAGGAATTGCCATACTGTCTTCCACAATGGTTGAACTAATTTACATTCCCACTAACAGTGTAAAAGCGTTCTTATTTCTCCACAGCCTCACCAGCATCTATTGTTTCTTGACGTTTAAAAATAATCGCCATTCTGACTGGCAAGAGATGGTATCTCATTGTGGTTTTGATTTGCATTTTTCTGAGGATCCGTGTTGTTGAGCTTTTTTTCATATGTTTGTTGGAGGTGTAAATGCTTCTTTTAAGGAGTGTCTGTTCATATCCTTTGCCCACTTATTGATAGGGTTGTTTGATTTTTCTTGTAAATATGTTTAAGTTCCTTCTAAATTCTGGATATTAGACCTTTGTCAGATGGGTAGATTGCAAAAATGTTCTCCCATTCTTTAGGTTGCCTGTTCACACTGATGATAGTTCCTTTTGCTGTGCAGAGGCTCTTTAGTTTAATTAGAACCCATCTGTCAATTTGGCTTTTGTTGCAATTGCTTTTGCCGTTTTTGTCATGAAGTGTTTGCTCATGCCTATGTCCTGAATGGTATTGGCTGGGTTTTCTTCTAGGGTTTTTATGGTTTTGGGTTTTACATTTAAGTCTTTAGTGCATCTTGAGTTAAGTTTTGTATAAGGTGTAAGGAAGGGGTCCAGTTTCAGTTTTCTGCATATAGCTACCCAGTTTTCTCAGCACCATTTACTGAATAGGAGATCTTTCTCTATTGCTTGTTTTTGTCAGGTTTGTCGAACATCAGATGGTCGTAGATGTGTGATGTTATTTCTGAGGCTTCTGTTTTGCTCCATTGGTCTATATTTCTGTTTTGGTACCAGAACCACGCTGTTTTGGTTACCATAGCCTTGTAGTACAGTTTGAAGTCAGGTAGAGTGATGCCTCCAGCTTTATTCTTTTTGCTTAGGGTTGTCTTGGCTATACAGTGTCTTCTTTGATTCCACATAAAATTTAAAATAGGTTTTTCCAATTCCATGAAAAATTTCAGTAGTAGTTTCATGGGAATCGCATTGAATCCATAAATTACTTTGGGCAGTATGGCCATTTTCAATATATTGATTCTTCCTATCCATGAGGGTGGAATGATTTTCTGTTTGTTTGTATCCTCTCTTATTTCCTTGAACAGTGGTTTGTAGTTCTCCTTAAAGAGGTCCTTCACATCCCTTGTTTGCTGTACTCTTAGGTATTTTATTCTTTTTGTTGCAATTGTGAGTGGGAGTTCATTCATGATCTGGCTCTCTGCTGGCCTATTGTTGATGCAAAGGTATGCTTGTGTTTTTGCACATTGATTTTGTATCCTGAGACTTTGCTGACATTGCTTATCAGTTCAAGAAGTTTTGGGGCCGAGACGATTGGGTTTTCTAAATATAAAATCATGTCATTTGCAAACAGAGACAACTTGACTTCCTCTCTTCCTATTTGAATATTTTTATTTATTTCTCTTGCCTCATTGTCCTGGCCAGAACTTCCAATACTGTGTTGAATAGGAGTGGTGAGAGAGGGCACGCTTGTCTTGTACCCATTTTCAAAGGGAATGTTTTCAGCTTTTTCACATTCAATATGATATTGGTTGTGGGTTTGTCATAAATAGGTCTTATTATTTTGAGATATGTTCCCTCAATACCTAGTTTATTGAGAGTTTTTAACGTGAATGGATATTGAATTTTATCAAATGCTTTTTCTGCGTCTATTGAGATAATCATGTGGTTTTTGTCTTTGGTTCTATTTATGTGATGGATTACATTTATTGGTTTGCATATGTTGAACCAGCCTTGCCTTGCAGGGATAAAGCTGTGGTGGATAAGTTTTTTGATGTGCTGCTGGATTTGGCTTGCCAGTATTTCATTTTATTGAGAATTTTCTCATTGATGTTCATCAGGGATATTGGCCTGAAGTTTTCTTTTTTGTTGTTGTGTATCTTCGCGGTTTTGTTATCAGGATGATGCTGGATTCATAAAATGAGTTAGGGAGAAGTCCCTCCTTTTCAATTGTTTGGAATGATTTCACAAGGAATGGTACCAGCTCCTCTTTGTGTTTCTGGTAGAATTCAGCTGTGAATCCATCTGGTCCTGGGCTTTTGTTTTGTTTTGTTTTGTTTGTATGCTATTAATCACTGCCTCAATTTCAGAGCTTGTTGTTGGTCTATTCAGGGATTCAACTTCCTGTTTCAGTCTTGGTAGGGTGTATGCCTCCAGGAATTCATCCATTTCTTCTATATTTTCTAGAGTATTTGTGTAGAGGTGTTTGTAGTATTCTTTGACAGTAGTTTGCATTTCTGTAGGGTCAGTGGTGATATCCCCTTTATCATCTTTTATTGGGTCTATTTGATTCTTCTCTTTGTTCTTCTTTGTCTAGTAGTCTATCTTGTTAATTTTTTCAAAAAAAACAGCTCCTGGATTCATTGATTTTTGGAGAGTTTTTAGTGTCTCTATCTCCATCATTCTTCTGTAATCTTAGTTATTTCTTGTTTTCTGCTCACTTTTGGAAATGTTTGCTCTTCCCTCTCTAGCTCTTCAGGATTGTGAATGTTAGGGGGTCAATTTAGTATCTTTCTAGCTTTCTGGCATGGACATTTAGTGCTACAAATTTTCCTCTTAAGACTGCCTGTGCTGTGTCCCAGAGATTCTAGTACATTGTCTCTTTGTTCTCATTGGTTTCAAAGAACTTCTTGATCTTAGCCTCAATTTCATTATTTATCTAGATGTCATTCAGAAGCAGGTTGTTCAATTTTCATGAAATTGTGTGGTTTTGAGTGAGTTTCTTTATCCTGAGTTCTAATTTTATTGCACTGTGGTCTGAGAGACTGTTTTCTACGACTTCAGTTCTTTTGCATTTGCTGAGGAGTGTTTTATTCCAATTATGTGGTCAATTTGAAAATAAGTGCCATGTGGCACTGAGAAGAATGTATATTCTGTTGATTTTGGGTAAAGAGTTCTGTAGACATCTACTAGGTACACTTGATCCAGAGCTGAGTTCAAGTCCTGAATATCCTTATTAATTTTCTGTCTTGTTGGTCTGTCTAATAATGACAATGGAGTGTTAAAATCTCCCACTATTATTATGTGGGAGTCTAAGTCTTTGTAGGTCTCTAAGAACTTGTTTTATGAATCTGGGTGCTCCTGTATTGGGCACATATATATTTAGAATAGTTGGCTCTTCTTGTTGAATTGTTCCCTTTACCATTATGTAATGCCCTTCTTTGTCTTTTTTGATCTTTGTTGGTTTAACGTCTGTTTTGTCAGAGACTAGGATTGCAACCGCTGCTTTTTTCTGCTTTCATTTGCTTGGTATATTTTCTTCTATCCCTTTATTTTGAGCCTATGTGTGCCTTTGCATGTAAGATGGGTCTCCTGAGTACAGCACATCGATGGGTCTTGACTCTAACCAAATTGCCAGTCTGTGTCTTTTAATTGAGGCATTTAACCCATTTACATTTAAGGTTAGTACTGTTGTGTGTGAATTTGATCCTGTCATCATGATGCCTTTTGGTTATTTTGCACGCTAGTTGATGCAGTTTCTTCACAGTGTCATGGTCTTTATGTTTTGTTGTGTTTTTGCAGTGGCTGGTACTATTTTTTCTTTCCATATTTAGTGAACCTTACAGGAGCTCTTGCAGGGCACACCTGGTGGTAACAAAATCCCTCAGCATTTGCTTGTCTGGAAAGGATTTCATTTTTCCTTCACTTATGAAACTTAGTTTGGCTGAATATGAAATTCAGGGTTGAAAATTCTGTTCTTTAATAATGTTGAATATTGGTCTCCAATATCTTCTTGCTTGTAGAGTTTCTGCTGAGAGGTCTGCTGTTAGTCTGATGGGCTCCTGTGGTAAGTGATCTGTCCTTTCTCTCTGGCTGCCCTTAACAGTTTTTCCTTCATTTCGATCTTGGAGAATCTGATGATTATGTGTCTTGGGGTTGTTCTTCTCATGGAGTATCTTAATGGTGTTCTCTGTATTTCCTGAATTTTCATGCTGGCCTGCCCTGCTAGGTAGAGGAAATTCTCCTGGATAATATCCTGAAGTGTGTTTTTTCCATTCTCCTCATCTTCTTCTGGTACCCCAATCAATTGTAGGTTCAGTCTTTTTATGAAATCCCATATTTCTTGTAGGCTTTGTTAATTTCTTTTCATTCCTTTTTCTCTATTCTTTCTGCATGTCTTATTTCAGTAAGGTCATCTTTAGAATCTGATATTGTTTCTTTTGCTTGGCTGATTCAACGGTTGATATTTGTGTATGCTTCACGAAATGCTCATGCTGTGTTTTCCAGCTCCATCAGGTCATTTATGTTCCTCTCTAAACTGCTTATTCTAGTTAGCAATTCCTCTACCCTTTTATCAAGGTTCTTAGCTTCTTTGCATTGGGTTAGAACACACTCCTTTAGCTCATCATAGTGTTTTATTACCCATCTTCTGAAGCTTACTTCTGTCAATTTGTTCATCTGATCCTCCTTCCAGTTCTGTGCCCTTGATGGAGAGACGTGGCAATCATTTGTAGGAGAAGAGGTATTCTGGCCTTTTGAGTTTTCAGCATTTTTTTTATTCTTTCTTATCTTAGTGAGTTTGTCTAGTTTCGGTCTTTGAGGCTGCTGACCCTTGGATGAGGCTTTTGTGGGGGTCTTTCATTGTTGTTGTTGTTGTTGATGCTATCGTTTTTGTCTTCTGCTTGTTTGTTTTTCTTTCAATAGTCAGGTTCCTCTTCTGTAGGGCTGCTGCAGTTTTCTGGGGGTTCACTTCAGGCCCTATTCATCTGATCCTCTCCCATGCCTGGAGGTGTCACTCAAAGAGGCTGGAGAGCGGCAAAGATGGGTGCCTTCTCCTTCTTCTGGGATCTCTGGCCTCAAAGGGCACAAACATGATGCCAGTAGAATTGCTCCTGTATAGGGCATCTAACAACCTCTGTTGGAGAGTCTTATCCAGTTGGGTGGCATGGGGAGCAGAACCCATTTAACAAAGCACTTTGTCCCTTGGTGGAGAGGGTGTGTTTCGCTGGGGGGAAACCCACTTGTCTGTACTGCCTGGATTCCTCAGACCTACCAGGAGGAGAGGCTAAGTCTGCTGGTCCACAGAGACTGTGGCCACTCTTCTCCATAGGGGCTCAGGCCAAGAGAGATCTGAATTCTGTCCCTGAGCCTCTGGCTAGAGTTACTGGAGATCCTGCAGGGATGCCCCACCCACTGAGGAAGGATGGGTCAGGGTCAAAAAAGGATCTCTGGCCTCAGACTGCCATAGCTAGTGTGTTGGGCTGTGGGGACAAGCCTTGGGACTGAGATGTCCAGCCTCCTTGGCTCCAGCAGGGGAAAAGTGCAGCCTGGAGCTACAGAAATGGGGGCCGTCCTTCCCCCGCCCAGCGAGCTTAGTGTGTTAGGCAGTTGGGAGTCCCAGTGCTGGCTGCTGCCCCTTCCACAAGGAGCTCGAAGGTCTTGGACAGCAGGCAACCTCAGCCCGTGCTCGTCGCCCCTACCCCTGGGAGTTTGGTAGGCTTAAGCAGGTTCCCGCTGAGAGACTGTAAGATTCCGTGCTTTCTGGAGTTGGCACACTAAGCCCTGGTGACTTGGGTTCGCTAGCGGGATCTTCTGATCTGTGGGTTACACAGTTCCATGGAAAAAAGCACAGTTTCCCCTGCTGGGTAGCAGCTCAGTCACTGCCTCCTTTGGCTCGGGGAGGGAGTTCCCCTTCCCCGTGTGGCTATCAGGTGGGCCGATGCACCACACTGCCCTTCCTTCTCTCCGCGGGTCACGCCAGCCTTCCAGTCGATTTTGAGGAGAGCACCTGGATACCTTGGTGGCCAGTGAAGGATTCACACCCTTACTATATTTTTTCGATGGGAGTCTGGAAGGCTGCTGCTTCTAGCCAGCCATCTTGGCCCGGCCCTGCTTCTATTTTCTGTTTCAAACCATGCCCCGTCACCCCATCATCCAATTTTTAACCTTGTTTAGGGATCTTCACCTCTAATAATTAATCAATTACTCTTTCTAGTCCTCTATGTATTAATTGGCTTCTTCTCTGTAATAAACATACTCTATTCTGTCTCGTCTTTTTCTTTTGCCCTTTTTTGTTTGTTTGTTTGTTTTTTGAGACAAAGTTTCTCTCTGTCCCCCAGGCTGGAGTGCATTGGCATGATCTCGGCTTACTGCAGCATTTGCCTCCTGGACTCAAGTGATTCTCCTGCCTCGGCCTCAGGAGTAGCTGGGATTACAGGTGCCCACTGCCACGCGCAGCTTATTTTTGTATTTTTAGCAGAGACAGGGTTTCGCCATGTTGGCCAGGCTCCTCTCAAACTCCTATCCTCAAGTGATCCGCCCATCTCGGTCTCTCAAAGTGCTGGGATTATGGGCATGTGCCACCGGGCCCAGCCTTCTCTCTCCTTTCAAAAGTTTAAACTTTTTCTGATTGGGCGCAGTGGCTCACGCCTGTAATCCCAGCACTTTGGGAGGCCGAGGGGGGGGTGGATCACCTGAGGTCAGGAGTTCAAGACCAGTCTGGCCAACATGGTGAAAACTTGTCTCTACTAAAAATATAAAAATGAACTGAGTGTGGTGGTGTGCGCCTGTAATTCCAGCTGCTGCGGAAGCTGAGGTGGGAGAATCATTTGACCCCCAGGAGGCAGTTTAAACTTTCTACCACCCTGTTTTCCTCACCATGTAAAGCTCCTTGTATCTCCTACCAAGTATCTTGGACATTTTCTGTATTTCATGATTCCTGTCTTCTCTTTTGTACGCCTCAAGCCACAGCACTTTCAGCTGACACTCTTCAGATTACAGAAGTATGTTATAAGAAGATCTCAAATACAGTCAAGATAAACTCCGTGAAAGTATTTTGATAGACTGTCTGGTAGGTGTTGACAATGCTTCTTTTTGCTCATCTGTCACCATCGTCTGACGGTTTCTTGTCACTGTCTTTGGCTTCACACACTATTCTGGCTTTACTCTATCTAATGCAATACGTAATTTACTATGAAAGAAGTTTTGTTGCAATCCTGATCAAATTTTTTCTGTAGTCCAACAATTACCTAAATTATTGAAAGCAAAATAAATAACCACAATTTTGAGGCAATGTGGTGAAATTGTATGTCTTTGTTGTCTTGGGTGTAAAGAAAGAAGAAAAAATAAAAACAATTTTTTTTTCCATGACGAGACAATTGTTGAGTCCTAATCCACAAATTTTAATGTTTCTACTAATATTTTAGAGCAAGTTCTTAAGAATCAGTAATTAGAGTCTCTGCCATTTCTAGTCAGCATGCATGTGGGTGTGGGTGCAAGTTTAGGACTTTCTCAGAGTAGTCTTTGGCTTGTCATCCCCATGAGTACACTGATGGAATCAAAGAAACTTTTCTATTTTTGAGTTTCTTTTAAACACTTGAAAGACCATAGATGTTTCTTACTAAGGTGACATGTTTTTCTGTCAAGAATAAGTAAAAAAAAAAAGAAAAAAAGGAATTGGATTAAAAATAATAAAGAAAATCTTCACAGATAGAACACCTTTGATGCTAGAAGCTCCAAACATGACTTATTCATCCTACATCTAAGAGATCATCAACAATCCCCAAAGAAGTTTCATCTTCTGTTATGAAAATCATCGTCTATAACAGAAAAATAACTTTTTCAAGCAGGTTTTTAGATAGTGGATTTGTATTCATGCTCTCTACAATGGACATGTGATTTCGAAGATGAAGAGTCTTCCAGCGTTTGATTGAACTAGGGGTAGAATTATTAACTGTTTATTCTTTAAGTAAAGTTGTTTTTGAGTGAGAGAAATTTATACCTCAAATTCAGTCTAATTAAACCAAACAGACGTTTATTTATTGCTTGACTGACTTTGTAGGTAGTAGATGTATTTTGGCCAAGTGTATAAGGTAATTTTTTGTTTAATTGAAGGCCCTGAACTCACTAATATGGAATGTTGTTTAAAAGTAAAAGTTTGCAACTAGCTACCAAACTGCAATAAAAGAAGATACATGAATGAATATGTGAATCTTTCAGTGCTAGGAGAAGCATCCCTGCATCTTTGGGTTGACAAAAGTAAAGCTTTGTCTGTTTTCCACAAAAATAAATCTCTAATCACCTGAATAAAAGGCTGAGAAACTCTTTGCACAGTTATTTCTTAGAAAAAATTAACAATACGAAAGCATATTCTTAATGTTTTCCATGGTGACGCAAATAGCATAGAAGCTGCAGCCCATCCTAAACATAGCCCGAATGAATTGAGGACAAAGAAGGAGATGCAACCTGACTTCAGTTTAAAATGTCTTAGAGAATCCTGACATTCCTGAATTACAATCTAGTCCACTAGATCACAGAAGGGTCACTTGCATTTTTCATATTTTTAGTGCCATCGAAACTTAAAATATAAATTGGTTGGTTTGAAAAATGCTACACACATTGCCACATCAATGACCTCTCAGTAATATCAACTTCAAAATAAGGTTAAATAACAGTATCTTTCATGTCACTTTTGAATCTGAGCAGAATTACATTTATTTTTATGTGTACTATTTAGATTTTTTCTATATCTTATTAATTGTCTTTTATTAAAAACAAAATATACATGTATATGGGTGTGTGTATGTATATTTATATTATCATATCATTTATATTATTTCTACATGTTATAAAACATATATTTTTATACACAAATATATTTTATGCACAATAGATTTTATAACATGCAGACATAATTTAAATGAATTTCTAATTTACTATGTATATTTAGGTCTTAGCGTAGTCATTTGCTTGTCATTTCTAATTTACTATGTTTGGTTATGTCTTTTGTCTGCTACAACAAAATGTCTTTTGTCTGCTATCCCATAGACTGGGTGGCTTAAAAAATGAACATTTATTTCTCACATTTCTGGAGGCTGGAGGGTACAGATTAGGGTATCAACATGGTTGGATTCTGGAGAGGGCCCTTCTCCTGGTTTCCCCGTGTGGCAGAGAGAAAGACAGAGAGAAAAAAATTTTCCCATTTGTCTTCTTTTAACGGCACGAATCCCAGCCTGAGGGCCCTGCCCTTCTGACCCAATTACCTCTCAAAGTCTCCACCTTCTAATTCCATCTGATTGGGGGTTAGGATTTCAACAGATGAATTTTGGGGAACACAAAGATTTGGTTCATAACAATATAGTCATGCACATTTTCTGTGTAGGGGCATTTTAACCACGCTTTCATTTTAAAGCAATCATTGATTTAGCTATGTATAAATCCTGCTATTCTAAATGTTGGAATTCTCCAAAGTTCTGTCCTCATATTTCTTATGTCCTCATTTCTTATGTTCCTTACATCAAGTCCCCTGGATTCCGTTACAAATCTGATTCCAGTCATTAGTTTCAAGAAGCCTTCTGAGAACACGCCTCATCTTGACTGTGTGTTCTTCTTATGTGCTTCCATCATATCCGTGTTCTCTAGCACACTTACCACACCACACTCTAACTGCCTTTTTATTTGCCTGCATTATATACCAGATTTTATGGCCTGTGAAGTGAGGGGCCATCTCTCTAATGTGCACATATTAAAGATAGCACATAACACAACATGTGGCAGGCAATAGCTGGTCAATAAATATCTGTGGATGACTGCATTTGAGTCAAAGTCTCCTGGCATTTTCTAGTGTTACAAATAATTTTTATTCTTTGAATTCTGTCTCTCTACTGAAAACTTAAACCACTAATGATAATATGACTTAAGTGTTTGTTCCAGAAAATTATTGTGCTGAAAGATAAGACTATAAACCAAAAAATAACTACTCTTTCCTCCAGAAAAATTACTAAACTTCTCTGTGAAAACTACTTGCTTATAAGGCAACTGTTAGCCTAGAAGGACTTGTTTCAGACCCTGGCCTCACTTTGTCTACTGATCATAAACTACTGTTCTGTAAACTTTGCCCTATTCCAGCTATTTACTCTCTCTGAGAAATACACTTTAGACCAGGGGTCCCCAAACCCTGCTACAGCTGGTGGTAAGCAGAGGGTGAGCGAAGCTTCATCTGTAACAGCCACTCCCCATCACTCACATTACCACCTGAACTCTGCCTCCTGTCAGAGCAGCAGTGGCATTAGATTTTCTTAGGAATGCAAACCCTAGTGTGAACTGTGCGTGCAAGGATCTATGTTACCCGCTCCTTATAATAATCTAATGTCGGATGATCTGTCACTGCCTCCCATCATCCCCACATGGGACCATCTGGTTGGAAAACAAACTCAGGGCTCCCACTGATTCTGCATTATGGTGAGTTGTAGAATTATTTCATTATATATTAGAATGTAATAGTAATAGAAATAAAATGCACATTAACTGTAATGCACTTGAATCACTCTGAAACCATCCCTTACCCTGGTTTGTGAAAAATTGTCTTCCACGAAACCAGTCCCTGGTGACAAAAAGGTTGGGGGCTGCTGCTTTAGACCAATGAAGTCCATACTTCAAAACCTGATAATTAACTATCTTCCTTCTTTTGAACAATTGCCAAAATGATATTTTCTCTTATGAGTTAAGTTAAATTAACTCAGCTTTTCATTGACCAATACATTGTTCTAGTTGTATTTATGGGATTCAAACAGTCAACACTACCAATAATTTAAAATTCCTGTGAGAAGGAACCTTATCTTACATTCTCTTTTATTCCACTCTTTGGCTCGTGCATCTGTGTTATACTGCAAATGACCATAGACAAAGTAACTATTTGCCTGAATTTTCCAAATGTTTCTAGCACAAAGTAGATAATGCACGAACTATTTAAACAGCTAATACTGTGTTTTAAAACAGTTACAATATTGTGCATTTCTCACAGATCAGTTTCTAGCACCAAAGAGGTGTGTTCTTGAATGTAATTTGTGTTCCTGAATTTCCTTTAAATGTCATGGTTTGTTCTTTTCTCTCTATGTGGGAACATAAATAAACCAATACCAGATTTGGGTTTGGTTAATTTTACTGGGGGGTGGGAGGTCCCTAAATCTCAAACAGAAGGTATGAGCATATTTTTAGGATTTGAACACAGCAACGGCATTGTAAAATGTGCTTTGTTGGTGCTCCAGTTCAACATAATTACATGTTATATGTACTATGTTTAAATTGGCAGGTGTGAATAACTCTAGTTAAATTTTGTATTAGAAAAGTAAGTTTTTTATTTTAAAAAGACAATTTTTGATAGCTAGTTAATCTTTTTCTTAACTTAGAACTTTTGAAATGTAAAACTGTAGCAAGGAATTTAATAAAAGAAGATGTTAGCTTTTCATTACAATATTTCCTTCATTTCATCTTTTGGAAAAAATTGAAAAGACAGAGTTTTTGTTTTTGTTGTGATTTTTTGAGGAGGGTAGATAATAACTCACTGCAAAGGTTTATCACAGCAAAGGATACAAAGCAAAAGCATCAGAAAAATGATGAGTCCAAAAGGAATCCAGGGAGGTCTAGCACAGCCTTCCAGGAGCTCTCTGGTCTGAAGCCACACAAGTGTGCTCATTTTCTAGCAGTGAACAACAGAGACACGAGAAATGTCTCTGCCCAGGAAAACCCCAGTGAGTTTCAGGACCTAAGACTTTCATGGAAGGCTGGTCCCAGTTTTAATTTTTAAGTCTAATTTTTATACAAAAATTCTATTTTGTTCACAAATCTCAGTAAGAAAAAAAATGAGTCAATAACAAATTTAATTGTCTGTTTTTAAAATCTCATAGATGACTTATTTTAAAAGTACCACTTTAAAACATTATATTAATTCATATCAATTATCTAATTACAGAGCTCCAGCCTTAGGTGTATTTTATCCCTTTGTTGCCAAAACAAGAACAAAGTTTACCATGACGGAAACCCTTGTTGACTTTCTGAGGATGCAAGTAATTATACAAATTACCCTCTTATGGAAGTTTCTGGAAGGAAAGATGATTTCTTGAAAGGAAAACAAAAGAAAAATAAGAGTCAGTATAGATGGACTGAAGCCATGATGAAGAGATGATGGAGTAATAATTTCACTTCAGTATAACCACAGGACTTGGAACTCGAAGGCTAATGTTAATACATGTAACTCCTCCAAAACAGCCAAGCCAGAGAAAACTCTAGATACAGAGCCTCTTCTGTTGCACTCTTCATGCTTTCCCCCATAGCTACTAGTCCTGACTTCCTTGAACCCTCTGACCCTTTCTAGATAGAGTCTAATTTTGACTTTCATAAGTAACATCTAACTTTCATGATTAAGATCTAGGGCCCACACATTTTATGAGTTTCAAACTTGGCTAACAGTTTCTGATTTCATTAAGAAACATTTTGTAGTTCATGATGAAAAACAAAACATAACATTTTTGAAAATATACGTCATTTGTGACCCTGCAACTCCATAATGAAAGATAAAAATTAGCAGACATAAGGACTTTTAATAACTTTAAAGTATTTTTTTTATGTTTTAGACACTGAACTGCAATGATATCTTGCTACTAAATGGTAGTATGTGCTAGAGTCGTCAATATCAGATGGATAAAATTTGGGCTTTTTCCAAAAGCCCAAAAGTAATCTAAATCCCAAAATCAAAAGATTAAAACTAATCCACTTACTTCTTTTTTATTTATTTTTATATTTATAATTATTTTTGAGACAGGATCTCACTCTGTCATATAGGCTGGAGTTCAGTGGCACAATCATGATTCACCACAGCCTCGACCTTCCAGGCTCAGGTGATCCTCCCATCTCAGCTTCCCGAGTAGCTGGGACTATAGGCACCTGCCACCACATCTGGCTAATTTTTGTATTTTTTGTAGAGAAGGGATTTTGCCATTTCACCCAGGCTAGTCTGGACTCCAGGGTTCAATTGATCCACCTGCCTCAGCCTCCCAAAGTGTTAGGATTACAGGCCTCCATTCACCCTTAAAAAGTAACTGATAATTGTGCTATAAAACTCAGAAACATGGTATTTCAGATGTGATTTACTTTCTAGGATATTTTTTTTGTGGCTATTATCATTTTTTTTTAGATTAAGAAAAATAATGCACTAAGATCAAGATTTTCAGAGAGATGGCAGGAACTGTAAGGGATGAGATTATATTAGTATAATGTCTGGAAACACAGTCTGAATCTAAGAAATCAGGCAAAAGAGATGAAAACTCCATGTAAGAAGAATAATATACATAGGAGTATATAATCCAGGCAACACTAACTCTGGAAACCCTGCATATCATCTGTATGAGAGGAGGTCAGGATCTGAGAAGCCTGAAGTCTCTGGAGCAGAAATTCCCTTAAAATACACTAATTTCCACTGCTTCCCTCCTCCCTCTTAGAGTCACACTAGGAGTGTGGGTTGAACACTAGAGTGTCTGAGTAAAGAAGCAGACACTAAAGCAGTTATAAAACAAAACATTTGCAAAGTGCGTTTGTTTGACCTCATTCTGAATCAAAATTTACTCATGTTTCAAAACCATGCCCAAAAGTAATCTAAAACCTCAAATTAGTATACTTTAATAAAGTAATTTTTAAAAGGAAAACAAACAGTAAATTGGGTAACTACATTTATTAAATGAAGTAAAAATAATTATTTAAATTTTATGAAGTAGCTTTTACAAGGTTCATGATAGGAATTCTTTATTCATATTTTCTACTTAAATAAATATCTGTCCCAGAAAGGCAAGCAAGTGGAGGAAAATGATAATTAGATGCTATTTTTCTATTCAGGGAGAGACCTTTATTATTCATGTAGCCATTTATATTGATTTAGAAATATTTGTAGAGATGTACAGAGTTCTATTTCAGAATTTTATTTTCTTAACATTACAAGTATCATCCATATTTGAGAACAGTGTAAATAATCAGATATGCTTTTTAGTCAAAAACATGTTTGCATATTTATTGAAAGATAATATTATTCTTATATTTGAAAGTTTTAGGCTCTAACTCAGAAGTACATATATGCAATATAGGCTTCTGTTAGGATTTCATAATTCTGATTTCATAGAAATAATTTCACATTGAATAATAAAAAGACAGTGAAGGACAGAAGAGCCTGGGGGGTTGGGGGGAATAAATAATTTTAGGATTAGAAATTTCATAAAGCTCCAAATGTATATATTGGCAGTTAATAAACACTTCTATATTACTTTTAGATTGACAGAAAAGTTGCAGTAATATTAAAGAAAGTTCCTGTGTAGCAAGTGATATAGTTTGGCTGTGTCCTCACCCAAATTTCACCTTGAATTGTAATGATCCCCACGTGTCATGGGAGGAACCTGGTGGGAGGTAATTGAATCATGGGGGTGGTTACCTCTGTGCTGTTCTTGTGATAGTGAGTGAGTTCTCAAGAGATCTGATGGTTTTATAAGGGGCTTCCCCCTTCACTTGGCTCTTATTCTCTCCCCTGCCACTATGTGAAGAAGGATGTGTTTGCTTCCCCTTCTGCCATGATTGTAAGTTTCCCGGGGCCTTCCCAGGCATAAGAAACTGCGAGTCGATTAAACCTCTTTTCATTATAAATTACCCAGTCTCAGGTATGTCTTTATTAGCAGCATGAGAACAGACTTATACACCAAGTCCCCCAGTTTTTCTTCAATTGTTAACATGTTACGTAACTTTAGTACAATTGTTATAATTAATGAACTAATGTTGATTTAGTATTACTAAAGTCCATATGTTATTAGAACTTCCTTTGTTTTTACCTAATGTCCTTCTCTTATTCTAAGATCCCTTCTCAAGTTATGACATCACATTTAGTCATCTCTCCATCCCTCCAAAATATATTTTCGTAATTTTCAAATATGGAATATAACCGAATGCATTGCACACTGGGATGGCTAGAATATTGAGACAAAGCAATTATGTTGCACTGGTGGAAAATGGATTATCAAAGTGCTAATATATCCAGCCACATAAATCATGCATGACCTATAATTTCAAGATTGCATTGGAAATTTTGTATATTGAATAATATTGAGACTCAAACTGAAAGGAATATAATATACCTTCAAAAGATCCAAAGGTAATATATTTCTAAATTTGGATAAAGTAGGTGCTACAGACATATAATAATTTTTTCAATTTTGTCAGAGAAAATAAGGTAAAAAATCCTATGTTTTATCTTGAACTATGAGAAACACAAAGATTTTCTCTAATTTAGAAGAGAAGTATTTTCAAATGGAATTTTAAAATATTATGGTGATATTTGATTGCAGATGATAGAACATATGAATTATCCTTAAATTTTCTCCTCAGTGGAAATATAGTAAGAACTAAATAATGCATATCTCTTATATTTAAATTACAGTGTAGATTTTGCTTTGGGGCTATTAAATTCTTTATCTCAGTTGCTAGTTCAGGACATAATTCGGAACATTTCAGTATCTAATAATGGCAACATTTATCAGGTACTTACTATATGCCAAACTGTTCTTTATAGTTGACATGTTTTAACTCATTTTTTCCTTGTAACAACCCTCTGAGAAAAATACAATTATCTGCATTCTAGAGATGGGACAACTGATAAACAGAGAACAGTAAATTGCATAAGGCATTTTGATTCTGGGTACCTTGATCATAAACAATACCTTCTATTGCCTCATATGTGGGGAAAACCAAAATACCGTATTACTGACATCTCTGTCACATTTCTACATGGATTCATTGAACTTAGGCATAAAAACTGCTTTCCCTTTGTCTGTGGGTCTTCATTTCTGAAGGCTGTCATGTCACATCAAACTTTGATTAAATCCATTTGTTATGCTTTTCCCTTGTTGACCTGTCTTTCGTTACAGGAGTGTGAGTCCTGGACCTTATGATGGGTGTGAAAAGGTATCACACCTTTGCACCTCTGCATAGTCTGTTATACGTACCTATGTGCCTTTGATGGCCCTTACAATGGGTGTGAAAAGGTATCTCACCTTTGTACCCCTGAACAGTGGATGTTTTATGTACCTGTGTGCACATAAACTCATGCTCCATTGTATGCTGCATAGATCCTGATAATACAGTATATTCTGTGACAGATTACAGTAGTGAAAATGTTCCTGTGTGTCTGAAGACTATTACTTTGTTGAAAGTAAACTTTTCCATTTCAGTGGAGTCATTCGTAACTGAGAATTACAAGACATTTTATCATCTCAAGCTCTCTTGTATGGAACTCCTACAAGCTGCATTTTATCATTTCTTAGGTTTGAGGTAAGATAATCATATATTTGAGCAGGGGTTATGACATGACTCCACACATTCTCTATAGTATATAGGGAATATTTTCTTACCAGAAGAAAGGAAGCATTAATGGGTTTTTAGAAAGTTCTTGTTAGCCAATATTAAATTCAGAAAATCTAATTGTATTAGTTCATTCTCTCATTGCTACAAAGAACCACCTGAGATTAGCAATTTATAAAGAAGAGAGGTTTAATTGACTCACAGTTCCTCAGGCTTTCCAGGAAGCATGACTGGGCAGGCCCCAGGAAACTTACAATCATGGTGGAAGGCGAAGGGGAAACAGGCATGTGTTACATGTTCAGAGCAGGAGAGAGAGCTAGGGGAGATGCTACACACTTTTAAACAACAAGATCTCATGAGAACTCACTCACTATCATGAGAACAGCAAGGGGAATATCTGTGCCCATCATCCAATCACCTCCCACCAGGCCCTTCCTACAGCATTGGGGATTACAATTCGACATCAGATTTGGATGGAGACACAAATCCAAACCATATCACTAATGTTCCAGAAATTACATTTATTCTTCATTGCATCCCTGATTCTATTGATCACAGTATAACTATTCCTTCAAAATGATTTGTTGTTAATATCTAACCAACACAAGAACCTTTTATTTGCTGGTCACCCTACTAATTGCTGGTGATGCAAGGGTGAAGAGTCATGCATTCAAAAGTTCACAATCCTGTGGGGAAAATTGATACATTAGTGTTATTAATATGCATGAGTCATAAAGTGTGACAATCATATGACCCCATATCAGTTTAAATGAATTACATCACAGACTTGACCCTCTATGAGACCAGTGCTGTGTGATAGAATCATAACACAAGACAAATATTCATTCAAAAACTTAGCATTCACTCAAATACATAAAAAGAAACAGATCATATGAATTTTAAGAATATATTTCACGTAATCCAATATATCCAAAACATCATTTATTCAACATGTAACCATGATAAAAAACATTTTGTTGATATATTTTTTATTATTTGTTTAGTAAGTTTCAAAATCCGCTGTCTCTTTTAGACTCACAGCACATCTCTCTTCTGACTAGTCACATTTCAAGTGTCCCATAACTGCCCGTCACTAGTGGCTAGGTTATTGGATGGTGTGGCTCCACACCCATGCCACTCAGAGAATAGTTCTTGGACCAGCAGCATTAGCATCAGCTGTGAGCTTCTGAGGGCTACAGAATCTCATCTCTGACTTCAAACCTACTGAATATTCAAAAGATTCTCAGGTGACTCACATGCTCATTAAAGGTGAGAAGTACTTTTCTAAAAGAAGTCATATAAGGAATGCCTCAGGATTTCTTATCAAGGAAAGTTGGCAAACACTGCGCTAGTCAGTTGGGCACACAAAGCCTTACTTTGTAATTCAAGCAAATGGATTCAAACAATGAATCCTAATGAAGGAAGCCAGTTCAAGAAAATAGTCTCAAAGATGTTTACAGGGATCTTCAAAACAGAAATCTTTGAAAATTTTGTGAAGCTGCCTTGACATCTATTCCATAATGAGTTATTCTGAGTGTATTTGTGTGTGTATGTGTTTGTGTTTACACATGTGTGTTTATTTTGTACTATTTTTATCAAAAAATTTAGACTGATTTCTTTGATAATTAAGTATCTTTTGTTTGGACAAGCATGTTTATAAAACTGATTATGCAAAAGATAAATAAACTCACTGTGCTGATTTAACTGTTATCCACATATTAGATTCAGCAAATAATTCATAACTTCAATGACAGTTCAGAGAACAGCTGGAACTTGAGCAATCAATTATAAATGCATCTCCCCCAGGCACCTAAAGAGAATGGGAGTTTATTCCATAGTGTTAAGGATTTTTATTCCCTCAGCTACTATGCCATGTCAAATCTCATCTTTGAAATGGTGACCAAATTCTCAGAGTTACGACATGTTGCATGTGTGCATAATCAGGCAGTCAAACTTTTATCTGGGTGATTCTCTTGTGGCTACTTATCTAGTTGAAATAAGTCCAAATATATTCTAATAAAAAAGGAAATATACGTTCAAGAGATAAAAAAAGAGTTTATTACTGTGTCTTCTTTTCTAATATTTGCTAACTTAGTGATTAAATAAAATACTGCCTAAAAACATGAGTTTTTAAATCAGACAGGTCTAGGTTCAATTTCTGACCCTTTCACTCATTGTCTGAATACACTTGAACACATTAAATAGCATCTGAGTCTTTTTATTTTTCTTTTTTGCTTGTAGCTGCTGGGTGAGGTGTCAGAGTCCCAGCATCAGAAAGTGGCCAACTCGTGAGTTGGTAAGAAGAATTTACCAACAGCATAGGTTTGAAAAAAGAAAAGTTTCTTTAGAAAGAAAGAATGCTGCAGAAGAGTGCAGCAGGGAGCCTTAGCAAGACAGGACTGAGAGCACCAGGGTGGATTTTTTCCTTAGAGGTATTTATGGACCTTCAAGCAGGAGCTGAAGGGTAATTTGGACCATAGTTGCCATTTAGGTCATGATAAATGATTACATTTGTAGACAATTTGGTGCCTTAATGTTAGCAAGAGTTACACAATCAGTTTTGATATGCATGCATTCTGTAGATGTATAGAAATTCTACTTATAAATTCTGGGGAAAGAAGCCTAGTACCTGAAGCCTGCTTTAGATAATAGAGAAGTCTAATTACTTCTGAATTCCTCACATAAGGAGTTTTACCTCTGGATGATCTGCTTGATGGCTACAAGATGATCTTTGCTCTCTTCAACAGCTAAAGTAAAAATGATCAGTTTTACTGGTTTATTTAAGAATTAAAGAAAATAAAAATTTTCCACATAATTAATGCTCACTTAATAGTTTCTGAAACACTTGAGGTTTCACCATATCACATTATAGGTAAGACTCCTTTTTATTATCCTTTACTCTTACAAAAAAAAAAAAAAAAAGCAACCTCTGGTCTCAAAGACTCCAGGTGTTACTTTCTCTTTGAAACTCAACTCTAAAATATATAATTCTGTAGCCCTTGCATCGTCATCATCGTCATCATCGTCATCATCACCCTCCTAGCTCACATTTACTGGGACACGTTGTTAAAAGATTTGCATACATTTTCGTGGCTTTTTTTTTTTTTGAGATGAAGTTTTGCTCTTGTTGCCAAGGCTGGAGTGCAATGGCATGATCTCAGCTCACCACAACCTCTGCCTCCCAGGTTCAAGCGATTCTCCTGCCTCAGCTTCCTGAGTAGCTGGGATTACAGGCGTGTGCCATCACACCTGGCTAATTTTGTATTATTTTCTTACATCTCACAAGAATTTCATGAAGTAGCTACTGGTAATGTCTTGAAAGAGGAGCTTTATAAAGGTTAAGTAACTTCTTTAAATTCGCACTGTGTGAAGGCAGGGATAAATCCTGGACTGGTAATAGCAGAGACAACTCACTAAATTAAAAACATGAAGTAATTAGAAAGTTGAATACCTGTGTCACATCAACACTTTCCTAGGAAATATAAGACTGTAAAGCACGACTATTTGCTTCAGAAAATTCCAGCAAACCAATTTATGTAAAATAACAATCTGTTCACCTGAAGTAATAGCTTATATATCGATATTATGGGCTGAATTGTTCCCCTCTCCAAAATTCATATTGATGTCCTAACATATAGTACCTTAGAATGTGACTGTATTTGGAAATAGAATATTTAAAGAGGTCATTAAGGATCAGAAAGGCCGTGAGGATGAGTCCTAATCTGATACACGTGGTATCCCAATAAGAAGAAAGATTAGGATATCCTGATATGAAGAAAGATGAGGACACAGATATACAGAGTGAAATACTATGTGAAGGCACAGGAAGAAGATGGCTATCAATAAGCCAAGGAGAGAGACCTAAGAAGAAACCAACCTTGCTGACACCTTCATCTCAGACTTATAGACTCCAGAATTATACAAAATTAAATTTCTGTTGTTTAAGTCACCTACTCTATGGTACTTTGTTAAGACAATCCAAACTAGTACAGATGCTTCTCTAATTGAGAATGTGCTTATGTCCTGATAAACTTATTATAAATAAGAAATATCAGAAGTTGAAAATGTATTTATTACCCCCCAAAACCCGTTGTAAAAATAAAAATTCATAATTTGAACCATCATAAGTCCAGATGCTCCTAAATTTATGATGGGGTTACATCCCAATAAACCCATGGTATTGTTGAAAACTTATCAATGAAACCATAAGTCAGAGACTGTGCAATCAAGCACTACTGTTAACTACCAATATTACTGATTGGTGTAGTTTTAATGATGTCATATTATTATAAATCTAAGTCTATCCTCTCTGTGCCAGACACCTACTAATTACGTGTATTTACATTATAATCCTAGTTATTAGAAATATCATCTAAATGTTACAATTTTTAATAATAATGATAATAATGATAATAATAATGATAATGATAATAATAATGGTAATTTAACATTACAATTGCCACTTTGAAGATCTTTTATTATGAACAAAATTGTTCATTCAAGAGGTACTTTAGAAATCAAAGAAAAATGACAGAAGCATTTAATGGTCTGAATTGGGGGAAGTGGAATTAAAAGGAAGTTTACAAAATAAATTAAGATTATACAATGATTTTATTGACAAAGGTAAATATAAATGTAAAAAAGTTAAAACTGTCTTTATGTTAGATACTCCAAGCACAATTTGAATCTAATGGCCATTACACTACTGTTTCTCTTCCCCCAACCTACACTTTAATGGTACCCCTAGCTGTTACTCTCTTCCTGGCCTACTTTCCTTTTTTATGGCTACCCAAACACTTACACAGCTAATTTACCTCTTAAGGGTAAATTCCTTTCTCAATAGGGCAAGGTTGATATTAAGAGCTGGTCTCCTTCTGTGCTGAGAACGATTATCAAGGACTTTCCAAAGCCTAGAAAAGATAGAGAAAAAAAAGATTAACAGAGGGATTTAGAATACATTTAACAATATATAATCTATTATTCTTAAGTCTATATCAATTGGTCCATATGTTATCAGGATCCTTAAACACAGAACAGTTGGAAGAAAATGAAGAATTATGAGACCTCGAGAATGATTTAAGAAAGCTGGATTTGCATAAGAAACAAGGGGGTTTGGAAAATATGTAGAACTTGGACAAAATCTTTTGAAGGCTATTTCCAATATCTTCCTTTCGTGAGTAGAGTAGACCCTAATATAGTCCTGCAAGCAAAGAAAGAATAGTCTATTAGGCGCTTTAGGGATACTCTTCTTATCTTCTTTAGACAGCATCCATTAGTAAATCCTAATGTAGTTGAGACTGAACCTTTCTCTTCGCTTTTTGAAAAATTAATGGTGAACCTTAAACATAATACGGGCCTCTAAAGAAAGAGCATACACTATTTTATGAGAAGAACACACTTAAATTTCTATATACTTTTTGAGATATTTATATTTCTAAGAAAACTGGGAAGCAAATAAAGCATTAAATTCAGTAACATGATTGACACCCCCCTTTTTTTTCATGAACTCTAAAGAATGGGATCTGTTCTTTTCAAGCACTCTTTAGATTCTGGTTTAGAAGTGGACTATAAATTCTAGAAAACCTATTTCTTATGGTGTTAAAATATATGACTTTTGGAGTTTGAAATGTTGTTGCAAGCTGTTCTCGCATCAAATGATCCAACAAAAGATCATCCAACAAAAACAGGCAAATCTGAAGTATACAGCAGTTGAAATCGCCACCATCAGAAACATAATATGCGTTGTTACTCTTCAAAGAACAGTACAGCTCTGAAGTAGTAAAGTCCACAGATGACCATGCTGAATCCTTCAGAATGAGTGATGAACGACCGTAAGGAGAAGCTAAGCATTGAAAGCACCTGAACCAACATTTTGCAGTCATGAAACAGTTATCAGTTAAGGTAAGATGATACAAAAATTAATAACTTCACTGTTTGCTTCGGGAAATTCCTGGAGATCAAATTATCTTAGACAAGAGTCTGCTCCCCTGAGGAAACAGCAAACATATCCAACAATCATTTATCAAGATTCACTTCGAGATGCTAACCTCACTGTGCCCACCAATCCTACACATTTATGTAGTGAACATTGATCGTCAAATCTAAGCCAATTCAACACCTTGTTAGATATACATACCTTAAACCACTTGACCCAGACTTTAAAACCTTATAATTATCTTTCTTTTGTGTTTCCTTTTCTGAGAGACTGCTGAAATTTTGTTAAGATGGTATTTTCTGTTATGACAATGAGTTCCAATAAATGTATTTTATTATATTAACAAGCTATCTGGTGATATTTGGGGGAGTTGACCTATCACAGTATTTTATAATGGAAAGGACAACAAAATTGGAATAAAAGACCTTGGTTGGATTCATTACTTCAGTTAACTGAGGCACATAAAACAGGTGCCTAATATTTTCATACAATATTTTTGTGGGTGAACTTAGAATAACAATTATTTTTCTTCCTGCATCATAATATTCCTAATACAGTAATGGAATATGATGGCAAAATTAAAACAGCCTTGTAAAAACTGAACGGTTACACAAATATAAAACTTTGCTTAGTTTCATATTTGTATAACCGTTCAGTTTTTACAAAGTGTGCATAAAACTGACCACCTAGGCCAGAACACTCTCAAAAGTAAGGGTGCCACTATTTTTATAGTCCTAAGATCCATGTCATAAAGGAGAACTATCCCAGTCAAAGTCCTATAAATCATTGCTCAATTATTCCTGTAAGTTCAAGTTACTTCTTTTATTCAGGCAATTCTCTTCACCGCCACAGCTACTACCAGCACCAACTGCAAAAAAACTCTTCTATCTTTGGGAAGATCCTCAGGGAAACCATATCTGACTTAAGTTTAGGGCCACAAAATTAATTCAAATAAAGCACTATGAAGACAAAAATATGATTTTGGTAATTTCTGCCTCCTGAAATCTCAAGGTTGTTTTTTTTTTTTCTTAGTATCTGGGACAAGTGAACCAAGTAGGTATATAAATAAAAATTAGCTAAATTTTTCCAGTTGTATTTAGTTGTGTTCTGCCTCTTCACTAAACATCTACACAGAGAAGTTAAGAAATAGCTAAATGTAGTAAAGTACTCAAGTTAGTTTGGAAAAATGAGCAGCGAGAAAAAAAGGACAAGTGCTGTAAATGATTTACATACCAGATAGCAGGCTCCTGACAAATAGAGCTTCCATTTTATTTTGTTTTCATTATTTCAAGGTGCATAATTTAAAAATCGAGTTCACTGTGTCACATACCAGGATACTTAATCTTCTCTAAAATGACATTGTTGAATGGTGTCATATTTCAGGTGGAAATTGAAACTAGGCACCTACAAAATAACACGCATCATGAAAACGTTAATCACAAAAATCTGCCAAACTCTGGAATTAAAAATGAATGCATATAAAACAAGAATTAAAACATTTTATTACATTGTCATTCTTTTTCTATCTCTGTATTTTTAAATACCGTGAGATAACTAAAACTAAAATTTCGCTTATTTTTTAATTGTTAACTTTGAATTTAAGTTGGATGATAAAATAATTATACAGAATAAAAAGTCAAGTGAGTGGATATTTTAGTATATTCCTTTTTATTTTACAATGCTTTTTTTCAAAACTGATAAATTATCAGTGAACTGAAGAATATAAAATATTTTGTTTAAATAATTTATCCTTTAAGAAAAGGCAAAATACATTAGAATAAAAAACAAGGTATTTTGGAAAGACAGAGTATAAGTAATAACTCATTTCATAAACATGAAAATGTTTAGAATAAAAACCTTATAAAATTTTATGGGTTAGTATCATCTAAAAAGGAATCATTTAAAAAAATACAGTAATAACATTTTAAAAGGATGCAACAAAAACTTTCTGGATTATATTGTGTGTGTGTATGTGTGTGTGTGTGTGTGTGTGTGTGTGTGTGTATGAGAGAGAGAGGAAAGAAGAGAAAGAGAGAGAACAAAAGAGAAGCAACCCAGGAGGTCAGAAGAAATGGTCAAAATGTGTTAAATTCCAGGTCAGGAATTGTAGCTCACACCTGTAATCTTAGCACTTTGAAAAGCTAAGATAGGAGAACTGCTTGAGGCCAGAAGCTCAAAATCAGCCTGGGAAACACAGTGAGACTCTATCTCTAAAAAAAAAAAAAAAAAAAAATTAAAAATTAGCCTGGCATGATGGCACATGCATATAGTCCCAGCTACTTGGGGGCTGAGACAGGAAGATTCCTTGAGCCCAGAGAGTCAAGGCTGCAGGAACTATGATCACATCACTGCACTCCAGCCTGGGTGACAGAATGACACCTTGTCTTTAAAAATTAAAAAAAAAAAAAGATAAATTCTAAACTACATAATATAATAAAAAGTAAACTTATCTATTATATTAGTAATAGTATTTTTTGTGATTTACTAAAAATTAAACGTTTTTCTTAGACTGGATTATGTTTTAAAATTAATTTTTCTCAAAAATATTTTTAAATACATTTTACTATTATACTCGGCATTTCTCAATTATGGTGGAGATAAATATATATTTTTACATACTATTTGCATTTTTGAGTATATATTTATCTGATTAGTGAAAACAAATTGTATTGCTACTCTTGTTTCTCCCTTTAAGAAACCAACATACTAATTATTCCTTACTTTAATTTGTTTAATTTCAAAATCTAGATAAAATAATTATTCAGTAAAAATGATGGTTACCTAGATTGCATCATTGAATAGTAAGGAATTGTATTCAGAATGCTAACAAATTTTAAAAGTTTATGTAATCCCTAAGAGATTATTGAACACCAAATTGTAGCTCTGATTAATTTAGTTAAAGAAGCATTTCACATTCCCTGTGTTTTATTGATTGACATGATTCTTCTAGTGAAATTATAAACTGCATTGCTATATTTTACTTTAACAATGATTCTTGTATTGTTGCTATATGAAAACCAAATGCAAGACGAGAAAGAACTGATTTCATTTTTAACATATCACCAAAAATAAATAAAAATGCAATTCCACAGAACACTGGCAAATGTGTTTTTATGAAAATGCAACTGAAGAATTTAAAGTTTGAAAACACACAGGTAAACAATTCACATTTCCTAATTTTATGGTATTAAAAATTTGTTCATAAAAAAGACTAGCAATAAAGTATATTTTAAATTTGCTGTTTGCTCTGTAATTTGGATTTCAAAATGACCCTCCCTAAAGAATGCAATAGTTGTTTTCTTCTGTGAGTTATTTTAAAATCACAAAAAAATCTTGAATTTAAAATTTTAATGCTAGCTGAAGTAAATGCAGTGATTTCTTAAATAGTTTAGCAAGAATCAAAGTTTTGTTTTCTTTTTCTTTTTTTTCTGAAATGCAAGAGGGATGTACTTCTCAAAGAAACTACTTCAAACAGAATACAGATAAAAATGTATTTACAGGGCTTTGAGTAGATGGACCTCTACTTTGAGGAGCAGTCACAGAAAACTGAACAGAAACCCCAGCAACGTTTCATGCACACTGCCACGTGCTTTTTCTTTTTTTTCTTTTTTCTTTTTCTTTTTTTTTTTTTTTTGAGAGGGAGTTTCGTTCTGTCGCCCAGGCTGGAGAGCAGTGGCACGATCTCGGCTCACTGCAAGCTCCGCCTCCCAGGTTCACGCCATTCTCCTGCCTTAGCCTCCCAAGTAGCTGGGACTACAGGCGCCCGCCACCACGCCCGGCTAATTTTTTTGTATTTTTAGTAGAGACGGGGTTTCACCGTGTTAGCCAAGATGGTCTCGATCTCCTGACCTCATGATCCGCCTGCCTCGGCCTGCCAAAGTGCTGGGATTAGAGGCCTGAGCCTGATTTTGGGAGCGCTACTGGTTGTTATTTCCCTGTAACTAAGGTTTAACTAAGCGCTAAATGGAAATTTCCACATAGGTGCAAGGAAAAATCATTATGAGAAAATGGAAATTCAGGAAAGTTCAAGAAAATACAGCCTTTCATATTTAATTATGTAAGAATTAATGACTGTCTTTGAATCAACTTGATAATTATCTTTTTATAGTACAAAAACTCATACCTTATTCAGACCTGAATCATTTTAAAATGTGTGGCATTGAGCTTGAACTCACAAGTTTTATGTTGTAAATACTTGTTGAATCCAACACATTGTGATTCCTGCTCTTATTTTCCTACAGAAACTACTAATTGATCTTAAGGATTTCACTCAAAAATAAAGTAACCCAATTTAATAATTCCATTATAAGACAGTGTATAACTATTCACACATTCAGAAATATGGTACAGAAAGAAAATGGTTACATATTTTCCCTCTGTGTGTTATGCTTGTAATATGGCTTTCCATTTTGACTCACTGTTCTCAAAATTCATTAAGTAGTAATGTTTCACAATTTTTTGAAGAATTCAATGAGCATTTTTTGTGTGTTAACTCAGTTTTCACTGATACTAGGAGCCCAACTGTGCAGACATCCTGGGTAAACAGCAAACAGCAGCAGCTTTCCAATAATATCTATTGACATGCTCATCTCTGCTACAACACATTTAGTTAGTGCTCTTGAATTACACTTCAAGGTTTCTCTACTAGAGCCATGGCTGTTTTCTTCTATTTAATGTTTGCTACTATATACATCTGCCATCTGAATCATAGTGTAACTACTCTTTGGGCCGACAAGAATTCATTTTATGGGAAAGACAAGACACTTCTCACTTATCGAAAACAGAGTGGCCATACATCTACACATTTAATTACTGAATCTATTAAATACACATTTTAAGTAATTATTCTGTGCTCATCACTGTGCTGCAAAAAATAAGGGTAGATTAAGATACAGGTCTCCATGTCATGGACGCCAAGGTTTAGGGTTAAGACTTTACATAAAAATCAAATAGCTATAAAATAATTTGATAATTCTGATTACTTTCATCTGCTTTGGATGGGAAGAAGGGCTTCCTAGAAGAGAGGAGTCAGGAAAATTGTAACCTGTATCTTGCTAATAAACTCATTCCCTTACTCAGGAGTCCCCAGACCCCAGGCCATGTCCCAGTCCATGGCCTGTCAGGAGCTGCCCACACATCAGAAGGTGAGCAGTGGGCGGGAGCAAAGTTTCATTTGTTATTTACAGCCACTCCCCATTGCTTGCATTACCACCTGAGCTCCGCCTCCTGTCAGATCAAGGGTGGCATTAAATTCTCATAAGAGTGTGAACCCCATTGTGAACTGTGCATACAAGGAATCTAGGTAATGGCACTCCTTGTGAGAGTCTAATGCCTGATGATCTGCCACTGTCTCCCATCACCCCCAGCTGGCACCATCTAATTCCAGAAAAACAAGCCAAGGGCTCCCCTTGATTCTACATTATGGTGAGTTGCAGAATTATTTCATCATATATTACAATGTAGTAATAATAGAAAGAAAGGGTACAATAAATGTAATGTGCTTGGATCATCCTGAAACCACCCCCACCACTGGATCATCCTGAAACCATCCCCACCATTGGCTCATCCTGAAACCATCCCCACCTTTCTCCTGGTCTGTGAAAAAAAGTGCCTTCCATGAAACTGGTTCCTGGTGCCATACTGGTGGGGGACCACTGCCCTTATTGGCTTTTACAAAGCAATTAAGCAATTGCAATCCTTCAAAGGCACACTAAAAGACAGCAAAATACACCTCCATAAAATCTGCTCCTTTGACATAAGGGTTACTTTGAGCTAAAGTTCATTGAGAAGAAGCAGATGCAAGAAAGGCTCTCTGAACTCTCTATCTAGACCTCAGAGCAGGACATAATTTTACAAAGGTGTCCCTTCACTCCTAGGGTGTGTGGCAGAGGGTGGTGATGACAACAAAGTTTGATAATAGAAGACAGTTACTTTACTCAGTAACTTTACTAAGAAGATTTGCTCTTCATGTATTTACCTTCTCATGATTTGCACCCCTTCGAAACTCTCTTTTCTTTGTCTAGACGCTTCTCTATAAATGTATTGTGCTCTGTTGATGTTGCTATACTATATAAGCCAGAGTTCTAAGCCTCTTCTGAGAATTACTGGTTCCCTGGGTATCACCCATGTATATATGAAATATGCATGTTGGCCGGGTGCAGTGGCTCATGCCTGTAATCCCAGCACTATGGTGGCTGAGGCAGGTGGATCATGAGATCAGGAGATCGAGACCATCCTGGCCAACATGGTGAAACTCTGTCTCTACTAAAAATACAAAAATTAGCTGGGCGTGGTGGTGCGTGCCTGTAATCTCAGCCACTCAGGAGGCTGAGGCAGGAGAATCACTTGAACCAGGGAGTCGGAGGTTGCCGTGAGCTGAGATCACACCACAGCACTGCAGCCTGGCAACAGAGCGAGACTCCATCTCAAAAAAAAAAAAAAAAAAAAAAAAAAGGAAATATACATGTGAATAAACTTCTGTTTTTCTCTTGTTAATCTGTCTTTTGTCATTAGGGTCTGTGACAAAACAAAAAAACAAAAAAACAAAAAACTGTTTTTCCTCTGCTATCACACCACAACAATCAATACAGAAAACTTCTGTGACGGACCAAAGGTGTGAGAGTTTTCCCCCTCACATCAAGTAAGCAACCAGTTCTGCAGGGGACACAAGTTGGGTGTGTGCTCTAACTGAATTCGAGCACTATGCACCTAGAAAGAGCATCATCCATCTCACACGCTGAAGGCTTAGTTCCCAAGACTGTCTTCCTTTCACATAACAATTGCATGTCTGGGTCTCCAGGATTTCTGAATGACTGGCTTCAAGCTGGGGTTCTCATGACCCCTTTGTGATTTTGATTTATTTGATAGAGTGGCTCACAGAACTGAGAGAAATACTTATTTACATTTACTGGTTTGTTTATTTTAAAATAAATAGGGTCTTCCTCTGTCACCCAGGCTAGAGTGCAGTGGCGCAATTATAACTAACTGCAGCCCCAAGCTCCTGGGCTCAAGTGATCCTCTCACCTCAGCTTCCCGACTAGCTGGGACTACAGACACACACTGCTCTGTCCAGCTAATTTATTTTTATTTTTACATTTTTAGAGTTGAGGGTCTTGCTATGCTGCCCAGGCTTGTCTCAAATTTCTGACCAGAAGTGATTCTCCCTCCTCAGCCTCTCAAAGCACTGGGATTACAGGCATGAGCCACCGTGCCTCATCAACTAGCTTATTATAAAAGATATAAAAGATATTACAAAGGATACAAGAAGGGGCACAGAGCTTCTAAGACCTCTCTGGGTATATCACCTTCTAGGAACCTCCACGTGATTGCCTATCTGGAAGCTCTCTGAACCCTGTTCTTTCAGGTTTTATGGAGGTTTCATTACTCAGGCATGAGTAATTAAACCATTGGGAACTGGCAATCAGCTTAGCCTTCAATCCTACTCCCCTCCTCTGAGGTTAGGGGGTGAGATTTGAATGTTCCAACCCTCTAATCATTCCTTGGACTTTCTGGTGACCAACCCACAACCTGAAGCCAGCTAGGGGCTTCCGGCCGCCAGCCGACTCATTAGCATACAGAAATACATCATTTTGGAGATTCTAAGGATTTTAGAAGTTGTGTTCCAGAAAATGAAGTAAAAGATCAAATATAGATTTCACAATGTCACAGACTCCCAGCTAAAAACTCAGAAAAATAGAGGGGAAATTATTTTTCCTCCCCTACCCCATCTAGCATGAAGCTAAGAGTGGCCTCTGGCCAACAGCCAGCTAGACAATGAGTTCCTCAGTCCAACAACCAAAAGAAACTCAATTCTGCCAACAACCACGTGAACCTGAAAATTGATCTATTCTCAGTGGAGTCTTGAGATAAATGCAGCCCGGCTGACATCCTGATTAGTCTTGTGAAAGAGGCTAAGACTAAAGACTCACTTAAGCTGGGCCCTAAGAAACTGGGCCCTAAGTAAATGTGTGTATGCGTTTTTAAGTTGCTAGATATTTGGTAATGATGTTACACATCAATAGTTAGCCAATTCAGATTTTTATCTAATGCCAATATTGATTGAGATATTGGATAAATGGTAGAATTAAATGCACAGTGAAGAGTAAACCTCCATGCAGAAGACAGCTAACAAGGCAAGGAGATGAGAAGCAACAACATTCTTATAGGGATGTAAGTGTTTTGTGTTGCAGGAGCAGCTATTCCAAGAAAGTTTCAGGTAGAAAATCAGAAAGCAGCCAAAACCCAGAGGAGGTTATATATCAATTCAGGGGACTTGGGCTTTGAATCATTCTTGTCATGTCACAGTGTAGATGGAGCAGAAGAAAGAGAAGTTTGGGTGTGATTTAGAGAGATAATGCTTATAAAGAGGAAAAATGTAGGACAAGCAAGATTAGTAATATATTAGTAATGGCTAGTATTTATTGGGCACTTACGTGACAGGAACTCTTCTACTTCATTAACGTCTACAAGCCTCACTGATGTGACAGGAACTTCTCTACCTCATTTAACATCCATAAGACTCCTCTGTACATTTTATTTGGAATCATTTCTAATATGAGGAAATTGAGGTAAGGAGAAATTAAGTTAAATTATGAAAGGTGCAGAGCTAATAAGTTGCACTGCCAAGATTTGAATGTAATCAGATATTCCCCAGAAACCGTGTGCTGCCCCTCTACAGAGGTGCCTGAACTGCTATAGTGATACAGTCAATCACTGAAGAAATCTAGGAGAGAATGAATTAAAGAGAATTCTGATCACAAAAGTATTCCATCAACTTCCAAATTCCTGGCTTCCTATTCATCCATCCATTCATCTCCCTCCTTTTGACGATATGAGTCATGTCCCATTTCTTATCTCTGCCTCTTTTCTCAGTTCTGTCTTCTCTCACACTCTCAGTATTCTTTCCATCCAACATCTCTCTTGCCAGAAACCCCATACTGTTTCTCTCTTCTTGCCTCTACCCATTAGGATTTAAAGTTTAATTTTTAGTTCATGCAAAATTCTTTTGATTTGGGGTAGGGTGGAGTGGGTAATAAATCTTTATCTTCTACTGGCAATTTTCTCCCCTTTCACTGAGAGGTATTCTCAGGTGATGAGCTCAAAGGGAGAATAATATGAATTAAAAGTACTGGTGCCTTGTCTTTCTCGCTTGCGTGTTTATCTTTAATGTGTGCATTGCCATTCAGGCCTGGCACCACTGTCAGAAGGTAAGAACAATAGGAAGTTCATTTGAATTTAGACATAAGGGGAATGGGCCAGAGGCAGCTTGCCCAGGTTTGATTTGTTATAGGTCACCTGGGCCAAAGTAAAGCAACTTTACCTGGGATTCAGCTTAGCTCAAACTGGATGAGGTGCAAACACATCATAAATATGACAGGCTGTTGCCTTGATTGTTGTCGTTCCTAAGTTTTCCCCATGACAATAGTTTGACAATCTGGATTCAAATACTATTTATTGCTTATAAGCAACGGGGCCATAGGAAAATTCCTTCTCCTTTATTTCATTTTCCCAACTCCATGATAAAACCTACCCCATATAATTTTCTTTAAATTTAATTTAATTATATTTTATTTTAAGGTCCAGGGTGTATGTGCAGGACATGCAGGTTTGTTACATAGATAAGCATGTGCTATGGTGGTTTGCTGCACCTATCAACCCGTCACCTAAGTATTAAGCTCAGCATGCATTAGCTATTTTTCCTGATGCTGCCCCTCCTCCTATACCCCCAATGGGCTCCAGTGTGTTATTCTCCTTCATGTGTCTATGTGTTCTCATTGTTTATCTCCCACTTATTAATGAGAACATGCAGTATTTGGTTTTCTGTTCCTGCATTATTCTGCTGAGGATAATGGCTTCCAGCTCCATCCATGTACCTGCAAACGACATGATCTCATTCCTTTTTTATGGCTGCATCGTATTCCATGGTGCATATGTACCACATTTTCTTTTTCCAGTCTATCATTTGTGGGCATTTGGATTGATTCCGTGTCTTTACTATTGTGAATAGTGCTGCACTGAACATACAAGTGTATGTATCTTTATAATAGAATGATTTATATTCCTTTGGGTATATACCCAGTAGTGGGGTTGCTGGGTCAAATGGTATTTCTGGTTCTAGGCATTTGAGGAATCACCACACTGTCTTCTACCATGGTTGAACTAATTTACATTCCCACCAACAATGTAAAAGTGTTCCTAGTGCTTTGCAGCCTCCCCGACATCTATTGCTTCTAAACTTTTTAATAATTGCCGTTCTGACTTGGGCGGCATGGTATCTCAATGTGGTTTTGATTGCATTTCTTTAATAATCAGTGATGTTGAGCTTTTGTTCATCTCTTTCTTGGTCACTTGTCTTTTGAGAAGGGCCTGTTGATGTCCTTTGCCTGCTTTTTGACAGGGTTGTGTATCAGTTCTTGTGCTGCTATTAAGAAATAGCCAAGACTGGGTAATTTATAAAAGAAAGAAGTTTAATTGACTCACAGTTCTGCAGGGCTGGAGAGGCCTCAGAAAACTTACAATCATGTTGGAAGAGGAAGAAAACACATCCTTCTTCACATGGCAGCAGCAAGAAGAAGTGCCAATAAGAAGGGGAGAAGTCCCTTATAAAACCATCAGATCCCCTGAGAACTCCCTCATTACCATGAGAACGTCATAAGGGTAACAGCCCCCATGATTCAATTACTTCTTACCGGGTCCCTTTTATGACATGTGGGCAATATGGGAACCACAATTTAAGATGACACTTGGATGCAGACAAAGCCAAACGGTATCAGGTTGTTTTTTTCTTGTAAATTTGTTTAACTTCATTGTAAACTCTGAATATTATACCTTTGTCAGATGAATAGGTTGCAAAAGTTTTTTTCCCCATTCTGTAGGTTGTCTGCTTGCTCTGATGATATTTTATTTACCTGTACAGAAGGTCTTCTGTTTAATTAGATTCTATTTGTCAATATTTACTTTTGTTGCAATTGCTTTTGATGTTTTTGTCATTAAATCTTTGCTCATGTCTATGTCCTGAATGGTATTGCCTAGGCTTTCTTTAGAGTTTTCATAGTTTTTGGTTTTACATTTAAGCCTTAATCCATCTTGAGTTAATTTTTGCATAAGATATACAGAAGGGGTCCAGTTTTAATTTTCTGCATATGGCTAGTCAGTTATCGCACCACCATTTATTAAGTAGGGAATCCTTTCCCCATTGCTTGTTTTTGTCAGGTTTGTCAAAGATCAGATGGTTGTAAAGGTGTGGTCTTATTTCTGAGTTCTCTATTCTGTACCATTGGTCTATATTTCTGTTTTTGCACCACTACCAAGCTGTTTTGGTAACTGTTGCCTTGTAATATAGTTTGAAGTCAGGTAGCATGATGCCTCTAGCTCTGTTCTTTTTGGTTAAGATTGTCTTGGCTATATGGGCTCTTTTTGGTTCCATATAAATTTAAAAATCATTTTTTTCTAATTCTGTGAAGAATGTTAATGGTAGTCTGATGGGAATAATGTTGGAACTATAAATTACTTTGGGCTGTAAGGCCATTTTCATGACATTGATTCTTCCTATGTATGAGGATGAAATGTTTTTCCATTTGGTGTGTCCTCTCTGATTTCCTTGAGCAGTAGTTTGTAGTTCTCCTTGAAGAAGTCCTTCACTTCCCTTGTTAGCTATATTCCTAGGTATTTTTTTCTCTTTGCAGCAATTGCGAATGGGAGTTCATTCATGATTTGGCTCTCATCTTGCCTGTCACTGGTGTATAGAAATGTTTGTGACTTTTGCACATTGATTTTGTGTCCTGAGAATTTGCTGAAGTTGCTTATCAGCTTAAGAAACTTTTGGGCTGAGATGATGGAGTTTTCTAGATATATGATCATGTCAGCTGCAAACAGATAATTTGACTTCCTCTTTTCCTAATTGAATACTTTTTTATTTCTTTCTCTTTCCTGATTGCCCTGGCCAGAACTTCCAATACTATGTTGAATAGCAGTGGTGAGAGAAGGCATCCTTGCCTTGTGGCTGTTTTCAAGGGGAATGCTTCTGGCTTTCAAGGGGAATGCTTCTGGCATTCAGTATAATGTTGGCTGCAGGTTTGTCATAAATGGCTCTTATTGTTTTGATGTATGTTTCTTCAATATCTAATTTATTGAGAGTTTTTAACATGAAGGGATGTTGGATTTTGTTGAAGGCCTTTTCTGTATCAATTGAGATAATCATGTGGGTTTTGTCTTTAGTTCTGTTTATGTGATGAATCACGTTTATCGATTTGCATATGTTGAACCAGGCTTGGATTCCATGAATAAGGCAAATTTGATGGTGCTGGATAAGCTTTTTGATGTGCTGCTGGATTTGCTTTGCCAGTATTTTATTGATGACATTTGCATCTAGGTTCATCAGGGATATTGGCCTGAAGATTTCTTTTCTTTTCTTTTCTTTTCTTTGAGACGGAGTCTGGCTCTGTCACCCAGGCTGGAGTGCAGTGGCACAATCTCGGCTCACTGCAAGCTCTGCCTTCCGGGTTCACACCATTCTCCTGCCTCAGCCTCCCATGCAGCTGGGACTACAGGTGCCCACCACCACACCTGGCTAATTTTTTGTATTTTTTTAGTAGAGACGGGGTTTCACTGTGTTAGCTAGGATAGTCTCGATCTCCTGACCTTGTGATCCGCCTGCCTCAGCCTCCCAAAGTGCTGCGACTACAGGTGTGAGCCACTGTGCCTGGCCAATTTTCTTTTTTTGTTGTATCTCTACCAGGTTTTGTTATCAGGATGATGCTGGCCTCATAAAATGAGTTAAGGAGGCCCTCCTTTTTAATTGTTTAGAATAGTTTCAGAAGAAATGGTACCAGCTCTTCTTTGTACCTCTGGTAGAATTCAGCTGTGAATCCATCTGGCCCTGGGCTTTTTTTTTGGTTGGTAGCCTACTAATTACTGCCTCAATTTCAGAACTCATTGTTGGTCTATTCAGGGATTCACCTTCATGGTTCAGTCTTGGGAGTGTATATATGTCCAGGAACTTGTTCATTTCTTCTAGATTTTCTAGTTTATTTGCATAGATGTGTTTATAGTATTCGCTGATGGTTGTTTGCATTTCTGTGGGGACAGTGTTAATATCTCCTTTATCATTTTTTATTGTGTCTATTTGATTCTTCTCTCTTTTCTTCTCTATTAATCCAGCTAGAAGTCTACTTATTTTATTAATTTTTTTCAAAAAACCAGCTCCTGGATTCACTGATTCTTTCAAGAGTTTTTTTAATCTCTATCTCCTTCAGCCCCACACTGATCTTGGTCATTTCTTGTCTTCTGCTAGCTTTGGGGTTTGTTTGCTCTTCGTTCTCTCATTCTTTTAGTTGTGATGTTAGGATGTCGATTTGAGATATTTCTAGCTTTTTGATGTGTCAATTTAGTGCTATAAATTTTCCTCTTAATACTGCTTTAGCTGCATCCCAGATGTTCTGGTACATTGTCATTTTGCTCTCATTAGTTACCAAGAATTTCTTGATATCTACCTTAATTTCATTATATACCCTGAGTTATTCAGAAACAAATTGTTCGATTTCCATGTAGTTGTGTGGTCTTGACTAGGTTTCTTAATCTTGAATTCTGATTTAATTGCACTGTGGTCTGAGAAAATGTTATTATTTCAGTTATTTTGCTTTTGCTGAGGAGCGTTTTACTTCCAATTATGTGATCAGTTTTAGAGTGAGTGCCATGTGGTGCTGACAAGAATGTATATTTTGTTGTTTTGGGGTGGAGAGTTCTGTAGATATCTCTCAGGTCTACTTCATCCAGAGCTGAGTTCAAGTCCTGAATATCTTTTTTTTACATTTTTTTGGTCTCGGTGATCTAATGTTGATGTTGGTGTGTTAAAGTCTCCCACTATTATTGTGTGGGAGTCTAAATCTCTTTGTAGGTCTGTAGGTACTTATTTTATGAATTTTGGTGCTCCTGTATTGGGTGCATATATATTTAGGATAGTTAGCTCTTCTTGTTGAATTGAACTCTTTACCATATGTAATGCCCTTCTTCATCTTTGTTTATCTTTGTTGGTTTAAAATCTGTTTTGTCAGAAACTAGAATTGCAAACCCTGCTTTATATTGTTTTCCGTGTGCTTGGTAAATTTTCCTCGATTTCCTTATTTTGAGCCTAGGTGTGTCTCTGCACTTGAGATGGGTCTCTTGAATACACACACAGATGGGTCTTTACTCTATCCAGCTTGCCATTCTGTGTCTTTTAATTGGGGCATTTAGGCCATTTACCTTTAAGCATAATATTGTTATGTGTGAATTTGATCGTGTCTTCATGATTCTGGCTGGTTACTTTGCAGATTTGTTAATATAGTTGCTTCATAGTGACATTGGTCTGTGTACTTCGGTGTGTTTTTGTAGTGGCTGGTAATGGTGTTTCTTTTTCATATTAAGTGTTTCTTTTGGGAACTCTTGCAAGGCAGGTCTGGTGGTGATGAATTCCCTCAGCATTTGCTTGTCTGAAAATGATTTTATTTCTCCTTCATTTATGAAGCTTAGTTTGGCCAAATATGAAATTCTGGGTTGAAAATTATTTTCTTTAAGAATATTGAATATTGGCCCTCATTCTCTTCTGGCTTGTAGGGTTTTCCCTGAAAGGTCTGCTGTTCATCTGATGGGCTTTCCTTTGTAGGTGAACTGGCTTTTCTCTCTAGCTGCCCTTAACATTTTTTCTTTTTATTTCAAATGTGGAAAATCTGATGATTATGTGTCTTGGGGTGGATCTTCTCATTGGGTATTTTACTGGAGTTGTCTGGATTTCCTGAATTTCAATATTGGCCTGTCTTTCTAGGTTTGAGAAGTTCTTCTGGATGATATCCTGAAGTATGTTTTTCAATTTGATTCCATACTCCTCATCTTTCAGGTGCCCCAATCAGTCATAAGTTTAGTCTTTTTACATAATCTCACAGTTCTCGGAGGTTTCATTTCTTTTCTTTTTTTCTCTCTAATCTTGTCTGCCCATCTTATTTCTGCAAGATAGTCTTTAAGCTCTGAGATTCTCTCCTCCACTTTGTCTATTTGGCTATTGATACTTGTGGTTGCATTGTAAAGTTCTCATGTTGTGTTTTTCAGCTCTATCACATCATTTATGTTCCTCTCTAAACTAGTTGTTCTGGTTAACAGCTCCTGTAATGTTTTATCATTGTTCTTAGCTTCTTTGCATTAAATTAGAACGTACTCCTTTAGCTCAGCAAAGTTCATTATTACCCACTTTCTAGAGCCTATTTCTGTCAATTCATCCATCTCAGCCTCAGCCCAGTTCTGTGCCCTTACTGAAGAGGTGTTGCAATCATTTGTAGGAGAGGAGACACTCTGGCTTTTTGAATTTTCAGCATTTTTACTTTATATTTTCTCATCTTAATAGGTTTATCTACCTTCAATGTTGAAGCTGTTGACCTCTGGATGGGGTTCTTGTAGGGTCCTTTTGTTGCTGTTGTTGTTTTGTTGCTGTTGCTTTCTGTTTGTTTGTTTTTCTTTTAACAATCAGGCCCCTCTTCTGCAGGGTTGCTGTGGTTTGCTGGGGGTCCACTCCAGACTCTATTCACCTGTGTCCCTCCTGCACTTGGAGGTATCACCAGTGGAGGCTACAGAATAGTAAAGATGGCTGCCTGCTCCTTCCTCTGGGAGCTCTTTCCCAGAGGAACACCAATCTGATGCTGGTGGGAATTCTCCTGTATGAAGTGTCTGGTGACCTCTGTTGGGAGGTCTCACCCAGTCAAGAGGCACAGGATCAGGGACCTGCTTAAAGAAGCAGTCTGACTGCCCTTTGGTGGAGCAGGTGTGCTGCACTGCGGGGGAATTTCACTCATCCAGACTGCCCTGATTCCTCAGAGCCCGCCGGGGGAAAGACTAACTCTGCTGATCTGTAGAGACCCTGGCAGTCCCTCCTCCCGGGGGTTCTGTCCCAGGGAAATCAAACTTCTGTTCCTAAACTCCTGGCTGGAGCTGCAAAAATTCCCACTGGGAGGCCCTGCCTGATGAGGAAGAATGAATCTGGGTCTCACCTAAGTAAGCAGCCTAGCCACGATCTGTCACAGCATCAATCTGGGTCTCAGCTAAATAAGCAGTCTAGCCATGATCTGCCACAGCCGTTGTGCTGTGCTGTGGGGAATTCCACACAGTCCAAACCGTCCAGTCTCCCCATTACTGACAGGGGAAAACAGCTGATGTGAGCTGCAGTGATGGTGGTCTTTCCTCTCCCCAGGAACTCAGTTGTCTTAGGTGGTCTCCAGCCTGCTGCCACAACCCGACCGGCCCGAAGAGTCTACACAACTCTGTGCTTGGGACCCAGGGTCCTGGTGGCGTGGGCTCATACGAGGATTTCCAGATCTGTGAGTTGCACAGATCCATGGGAAAAGCATGGTTTCCCTGGTAGGGTAGCATAATCACTATCTACCTCCCTTGGCTGCCGGTGGGAGTGCCCCTTACCCAGGATAGCTCCTGGGTGGGCTGTCGCTCCACACTGCTTTTCCTCTCTCTCCATGAGTCCTGACAACAGCCTAGTCAGTCCAAATGAGAAAACATGGACACCTCAGCTGAAGATGCAGGATTCACTCACCATATTTGTTCTTCTCAGTGGGATCCGCAGACCGGAGCTGCTTGTAATCGGCCATCTTATCTCATAGAATTTAGATGACAACATTCACGGTAAGAGAGTCTGGCTCACACCAAGCACTCACATAGCAAAATCCACAAAAGCAGCGTCAGCGTGCAATTTGATTTAAAGACAGATTGTTTTAATACAATTGAATAGGACCTATTATTATATTTTGGTTTGAGCCTGACCAGTTGATATAAGCAGGTGAAGTAAACTGGAGAACATATTTCCTAAAATGCAAAAGAAACTAGTAACTTATAATGAATACAGGAAATCACTTGAAATAAGTTTTAAACAAATTACACTCTTTTGCAATAGCTGTTCCGAAAGTTGAATATAAATTGAAATCACTATCAATACTGTCTCGTAGTATACGAAATCATTAGGGCACCTCTTCACCCATCAAGTTATTTTTACCAAGATTATTTTCATGTTATCATGACACATATAGAATGGAGAGAATTAGACGTTTTAGTGAGTAGATTAACATTAAGATTATTTTAAATATTTATCTAGATCATAAATATAAGGTATATTTCTATAATGATTTTGTAATCTGTGCTGTATCCTTACTCTTGATTTGGCTATGATTTCTCCCACATTCAACACAGAAGCAAAATTAAAAAGGAAGAAACTCAGTATGCTCACAAAATATTATGTTTAGCATCCCTATTTTAATGATTGAACATAACAGAGTGTATACTGTGAACGAAGACCTGGGCCTGTCCAGGATTTACAACTAACAAAGAACAAACCTCCTGGCCACTATTTCACTGTTTCCAACTGTGCCTGCAAATATCAAGTTGGGGGTTTATGTCTCACTTTAAACTTTGTCTCATTCCCTTAACCTTGTAATGTCATAGTTTCCTTATCAGTAAAATGAAGATGATAATTGCACTACTTCACCAGGTTACTTATAAAATTCAATTACATACTATATGAAGTATCAGACACAATGCATAGCATAAAGCAAGAATTCAAATAACTGTAATTTTATTCAGGGCACATGTAGAAATCACTCAGCTGGAGCATCACCTCTAAGCCTGTAACATAGAAAGCAAACATGTTTCTTCTGTGTTGAGCAACTTCTTTATTTCTAACTTTTATTTTAATTTCAAAGGTTCATGAGCAGGATGATCCAGCTTTCTTTTTCTCTTTTCTTTTTTTTTTTTTTTTTTTTGAGATGGAGTCATACTCTGTTGCCCAGGCTGGAGTGCAGTGGCACAATCTTGGTTCACTGTATCCTCTATCTCCCAGATTCCTGCCTCAGCCTCTCAGGTAGCTGGAATTACAGGCATGCACCACCATGCCCAGCTAATTTTTGTGTATATCTTGTTTTCAGTAGAGACATGGTTTCATCATGTTGGCCAGGCTGGTCTCAAACTACTGACCTCAGGTGATCCACTTGCCTTGGCTTCCCAAAGTGCTGGGATTACAGGTGGGATCCACCACGCCTGGCCAAGGATGATCAACTTCTTACTGTGACTAATGAATAGAATCCAGATGCTGAAGGGAGGGAGGGAAAAAGCACAGAGAGGTTGGCTGAGAATGAGTACTGATGAAATATAACTTGGTTAGAAGTACAGGCAAAAATAATAAACTCTGTCTGTTAGAGACAGTATTAATAACTTTTCACAGTTTATGTTTGATTCTAAGTCTTCTTGCCTTGACACTCTGTTGACTTATTTATTTTTTTTTATTTCATGGAACATCTTGCAATAAAAAACAGAAAAATGTCAAGCACGCAGCTACAGCAGTGTGAACTACTTTGAAGTTTGAAAGCAACCTGTGTAGGTAAGTCTGATTTTTATTTAATCATTAAAATCTTTAAGATCTTTCTGTTTTTTCTTTTTAAATTCCACACAATATATCATGTAAGGGGTTTCTAAACTTTCTGAGATATGCACTGTGAGCCAGCAAGTCTTTTCAGCCAAAAATAAATACAGAAATAAAATAAAACTCCCTAATGTTTAGAGATGATGAGCAAAGAATTAGATAAAAAAACATTAATTAGGATGGCCTGAAATGGTTTTATACTTAGTACAGACAATAAAAATAAATCATTTTCTGTGAGACTTATTCCTAGGCAAAAGTGTCAATGGATTGATATAAATATACTAAATATGTTGTTGATTTGTTGATATTACCCTTGGAGAAAATATAGATGATTATAAACAGTTCATTAGTTTTTACATATCTTTACTAAAACTCTGTGTGTAAATTAAATATAGAAGAGACAAATAATGGATTCCCATCTTGTTAGAGCAAAGGCTTACTCTCTCAGTCAGAAGATGAAAAATTGGACTTTGTTATTTAGGCACAAACCAATAGATTTTGTATATTTTTACAAGACAAATCTTTTTTTTTTTTTTTTTTAAGACGAAGTTGCACTTCCGTTGCCCAGGCTGGAGTGCAATGGCGCAATCTCAGCTCACTGCAACCTCCGCCTCCCATGTTCAAGCAATTCCCCTGCCTCAGTCTCCCAAGTAGCTGGGATTACAGGCGCCCACCACCATGCCCAGCTAATTTTTGTATTTTTAGTAGAGACGGGGTTTCACCACGTTGGTCAGACTGGTCTTGAACTTCTGGCCACAGGTGATCCGCCCGCCTAGGCCTCCCAAAGTACTGGGATTACAGGTGTGAGTCACCGCACCCAGCTGACAAATCTTATCAGTAATTGAATGTACTCTACCAATTTTAGATCAAATGACTGTCAAAAAAGATAACTATTTCCCAGTTTTTCACATTTAATGATTCACAGTTCAACTTTAATTCTGTTGTTGGTGAGAATGGTTATTCTTTTCTATTCTTTGTCTTTGAACTTCTAAGTTCATATGCATTTGTAATTTCAAGTTTAAAAGTACAGAGTTATAAAAGAAAATAAAACTCACATCTTTTCCCCACGTACATACATGTTCTGATAATCTCTGAATTATACCTAGTGAAGAGTGTGTTGTCTATTTTTTTCTTCACCATCTTTTTTTTTTTTTTTTTTTTTGAGACTTCTGTCATCCAGGTGGAGGGCAGTGGTACAATCTCTGCTCACTGCAACCTCCACCTCCTGGGTGCAAGTGATTCTCTTGCCTCAGCTTCCCAAGTAGCTGGGGGTACAGGTGCATTCCACTACAGTTGGCTAATTTTTGTATTTTTAGTAGAGTTGGGGTTTCTCTGTGTTGGCCAGGCTGGTCTCAAACTCCTGACCTCAAGTGATCCACCTGCCTCAGCCTCCCAAAATGCTGGAATTAGAGGCATGAGCCACCATGCACAGGCTTCACCATCTTTCTGATGCTGAGATCTACACATTCTATAACTTCTAAAAGCACTTCTGCTTCCAGGTTTTTATTTCCCTTGCCACTCAGAATTTAAATCAATTAATAAGATTCAATAAATCTTGAAATTGCAATACAAATTTAATGGTACATATTGACCTTCCATTTTGTTTTTTCAGGACAAGCTCAAGAGGGCTATCTAACGGCAGGAACAATGAGAACCATCATTTGATGGTTCTCCAAGACTTCTCCAAGAAGTCTACATCCCAACAGCACCTTATAAATAAATAGCCTCAGAAGAACAAGTGCTGCTATTCCCCACTGAAGACTTCCTTCTAGGCAACAATGCTTGTAGTGACAACAAGCAAGAGAAACAAGATTTTCAAATACTCAGTTCAATTTTTTCAATTAGATCTATGCCTGCAAGCTAATCAGCAAACCTGCAATAACCAGGAAAGTCCCTTTCTGGTCTGTTCAGAATCATTCCCTTTTAATCACAGCCCAAGTCCTCCCAATCTCTCTCCTGTGTGTGCTGTATGTATTTCTTTCAAACTCCTCCTGGAAACTTGGCCTTGACTTAGAGCTAGTTAGACCACAGGTCACCCTATCATCACTCCAGGAATGCTGCATGGAAGAGACCAGTGTGCAGAGGGGATCTCACTAACCTGTGCTCTGCTTTGCTGAAACCCAGCTCGGTTCTGGGCTCACCTCGGTTGTGAGATAGCAAGAATGTAATATCATTTCAGCCACTTCTTGTTTTTGCTTCTCACAATAGCTTGCTGACTGGCATAGATTTTATTAGAAACAGTCAACTTGATAACAATGATATTGTTATCAGTCAAAAATGATAACAGTAGTATTAATCAAATAATTATATTATTTTATATCACCGAATACATTGATCTATTCATAATATTGAATTTGTTATGTAATTTTATTTACTATATTTATTTTTGTATTTACAATATTTTCACTCAATTTTCATGTTTATTTAATATCATTGAAGATAAAATTGTCTATATTTTATTAGCATACTCTTATGTGTATTATATATTTTAAATTTTATCCATAGTTTATGATTATTTCTGTTTAACAAACATGTAAAATCGAATAATTTATTATGCATTTCCCTCTAAAATTATTTCCAACTACATACTACGTACCTGATATTGGACCTATATATCCTCCCAAATTCAAGAAGTAGTTTTCTTACTTAAATAAAATTGCCCATAACTAAAGAAAAAAGGTAGTGTTTCTTCTCATTGGTTTTAATTACAACTTTCCTCTTCCCTATAAAATCATTTTATGATTTGAGAATGACATTAACTTTATTATGCTATATTATTATAAAGGTGATTCCTGTTGATGGTAAATTTAATTTCAATCACAGGAATAGTACTTATAGTGTCATATCTGTCATCTTGATTTATAATTTCTGTTTCAAATGCTTTCTTACTTTTTTTACTTTCCATTTGTGATGTTATCAAAGTTATTTTTTTAAGGTCACTATACACTCTGCAGACACCCACTGATTTGAAAAATGTAAAGTTATTTTATTTTTATATTTTTACCAGTACTTGTTTTTACAACTTTAGGTAATCCTACTCCTTAAGTTAATAACGTTAGAAATTTTAAAATAAAGCACTACTAATGTATCCTTATAAAATAAAATAACTTGATACTTATCCTTCCAATTCTTGCTTCTAAAGCACACATTGGTTTGTATGACCTTGAATTTTTGTCACCAGCTCAAAAGGTAAAATGATAACAAATAGTATTAATCAAATAATTATAATTATTATTTTATATCTCCGAATACATTGATCTATTCATAATATTGCACTTGTTATGTAATTTTACTATATTTATTTTTGTACTTACAATATTTTCACACAATTTTCAAAACCATATTAATACAACTTTATCATTTGTAGATTCTTGTTTTGCTCAGTGACTCCAGTTGCTCAATAGCAGTCAGGGTCAAGTAGATTTTGTTTTAAAGGTCAGTATTCTTCCAGCATTTTTGATATCTTAGAGGATATTCTACATGGTCATCCCATAACAATTTGTCTGGCTACGGGATTATTTGTCACACTCACTTTCAAAAATAGTACTGTAAATGTTCAGTCATTCACTCATTTATTTATTCAAGAAATATTTGTGAAGTTAAATAACATATCAGGTAGTATGCCAGGAGCTGGAAATATCACAGTCTGGGATGAGAAAGAAGGAATTAAATAAAACTATCCCTCAAAATGAAATAACCATGAATTATATTGAGTGTTATATACAAAAAAGAGAGGCTAGTAATTGAAAAAATGTAAGGTCATCAGGGAAGCAGACTTCAAGCTACAGCTTAAAAATTGAAAGGAGCTAGCCACGGGATGAATTTCGAGAGTGGAGTTTCAAGAAGAAGAAAGAGCAAATCCAGTCTCAGGGCCTCCCTACACCATATGAGAAAATGAACTGCTATAATGGTAGACAGTTCAGTTATGGCCGAGTGTCAGAACAATAAGCATGGTGGCTAATCTGAATTCTGTTTCTTGTGCCTAGAGAAGCTAGTGAAGGGTTATAAGCAAACAGATACAACCTAATTTATGTTTTTGGGAGGCTGTGTGTGTGTGTGTATGTGTGTGTGTGTTTGTGCACCTGTGTGTTTGTTTGGTATAGTTGACACAGACTGTCCTATGGACAATTGATTAGAGACGGTAAATACATAAGTAGCAAGGCCAGATGGAAGGCCTTTACCCTGACAACTGCATCAAAGGGAGATGGAGAGAGACTAATGGCTTTGAAGAAGAATCTATAGGACTTGCTCAGAAATAAGTTGTATAGAATGAGCCAAAGGGAGGAATCCAATTTAAAATCATGTTTTCTTATTTGAGCAATTAGAAAAATAGTGGACCCAATTACTAAGGTGAGAAAAATTGCAGAAATAGCAGATTTAAAGGCTAAATCAATCTGCCTTTGAAAGACTTAATTGGTTCATAACCATGAGTATGTCTTCAATTCACCTTCAGGGACCAGAGTTCTAAATAAGAGTGATATATTCATCAACTGGGAAAGCCAGACCAAAAGATACTGGTTTTATATATCCTCAGACCATCTCTTTTATCCCTACTGTTTTGTAACTGGAGGAAAATTTTTCTAATTCACAATTGCTGCCACATTTGGAGAAATATTTGAAATACACAGGTTCCATTCTAAGATGGCTGAATAGGAACAGCTCCGGTCTGCAGCTCCCAGTGTGATGAACAGAGAAGATGGGTGATTTCTGCATTTCCAACTAAGGTACCTGGTTCATCTCACTGAAACTGGTTGGACAGTGGGTGCAGCCCATGGAGGGCGAACCAAAGCAGGGCGGGGTGTTGCCTCACCCGGGAAGCACAAGGGGTCCGGGGATTTCTCTTTCCTAGCCAAAGGAAGCCGTGACAGACTGTATCTGGAAAAATGGGACACTCCTGCCCAAATACTGCAACCAGCAGACCAGGAGATTCTCTCCTGTGCCTGGCATGGCAGGTCCCATACCCATGGAGCCTTGCTCACTGCTAGTGCAGCCATCTGAGATCAAACTGCCAGGCTGCAGCCTGGCAGGGGGGAGGGGCATCTGCCCTTGTTGAGGCTTGAGTTGGTAAACAAAGCAGCTGGGAAGCTCAAACTGGGCAAAGCCCACCGCAGCTCAACAAGGCTTACTGCCTCTATAGACTCCACCTCTGTGGGCAGGGCATAGCTGAACAAAAGGCAGTAGAAACTTTCACAGACTTAAACAGCCCTGTCTGACAGCTCTGAAGAGAGCAATAGTTCTCCCAGCATGGTGTTTGAGCTCTGAGAATGGACAGACTGCCTCCTCAAGTGGGTCCCTGACCCCCATGCGGCCTAACTGGGAGATACCTCCCAGTCGGGGCCGACAGATGCCTCATACAGGCAGGTGCTCCTCTGGGATGAAGCTTCCAAAGGAAGGATCAGGCAGTAATATTTGCTGTTCTGCAATATTCGCTGTTCTGCAGCCTCCACTGGTGATACCCAGGAAAACAGCATCTGGAGTGGACCTCCAGCAAACTTCTACAGACCTGCAGCTGAGAGACCTGTTAGAAGCATAACTAACAAACAGAAAGAAATAGCATCAACATCAACAAAAAGGACATCCATACCAAAACCCCATCTGTAGGTCACCAACATCAAAGACCAAAGGTAGATAAAACCACAAAGATGGGGGAAAACCAGAGCAGAAAAGCTGAGAATTCTAAAAACCAGAGTGCCTGTTCTCCTCCAAAGGATTGCAGCTCCTTGCCAGCAATGGAATAAAGCTGGACGGAGAATGACTTTGACGAGTTGACAGAAGTAGGCTTCAGAAAGTCGTTAATAACAAACATCTCTGAGCTAAAGGAGCATGTTCTAACCCATCACAAGGAAGCTAAAAACCTTGAAAAAAGGTTAGACAAATGGCTAACTAGAATAACAGGGTAGAGAAGACCTTAAATGACCTGATGGAATTGAAAACCATGGCACGAGAACTCCTTGACGCATGCACAAGCTTCAATAGCTGATTCGATTGATTGGAAGAAAGGATATCAGTGATTGAAGATCCAATTAATGAAATAAAGTGAAAATACAAGTTTATAGAAAAAAGAGTAAAAAGAAATGAACAAAGCCTCCAAGAAATATGGGACTATGTGAAAAGACCAAATCTACGTTTAATTGGTGTACCTGAAAGTGTTGGGGAGAATGGAACCAAGTTGGAAAACACTCTGCAGGATATTATCCAGGAGAACTTCCCCAATCTAGCAAGGCGGGCCAACATTCAAATTCAGGAAATACAGAGAACACCACAAAGATACTCCTTGAGAAGAGCAACCCCAAGACACATAATTGTCAGAATCACCAAGGTTGAAATGAAGAAAAAAATGTTAACGACAGCCAGAGAGAAAGGGCGGGTTACCCACAAAGGGAAGCCCATCAGACTAACAAGGGATCTCTCGGCAGAAACTCTACAAGCCAGAAGAGAGTGGGAGCCAATATTCAATATTCTTAAAGAAAAGAATTTTCAACCCAGAATTTCATATCCAGCCAAACTAAACTCATAAGTGAAGGTGAAATAAAATCCTTTACAGACAAGCAAATGTTAAGAGATTCTGTCACCACCAGGCCTGCCTTACAAGAGCTCCTGAAGGAAGCACTAAACATGGGAAGGAACAACTAGTACCAGCCACCACAAAAACATGCCAAATTATAAAGACCATCGATGCTAGGAAGAAACTGCATCAACTAACGAGCAAAATAACCAGCTAACATCATAATGACAGAATCAAATTCACACATAACAATATTAACCTTAAATTTAAATGGGCTAAATGCCCCAATTAAAAGGCACAGACTGGAAAATTGGATAAAGAGTCAAGACCCATCCATTTATTGTATTCAGGAGACCCATCTCACGTGCAGAGACACACATTGGCTCAAAATAAAGGGATGGAGGAAGATCTGCCAAGCAAACGGAAAGTAAAAAAAGCAGGGGTTGCAATCCTAGTCTCTGATAGAATAGACTTTAAACCAACAAAGATCAAAACAGACAAAGAAGGCCATTACATAATGGTAAAGGGATCATTTCAACAAGAAGAGCTAACCATCCTAAATATATATGCACCCAATACAGGAGGATCCAGATTCATAAAGCAAGTCCTTAGAGACCTACAAAGAGACTTAGACTCCCACACAATAATAATGGGAGACTTTAACACCCCACTGTCAATATTAGACAGATCAACGAGACAGAAGGTTAACAAAGATATCCAGGACTTGAACTCAGCTCTGCACCACGTGGACCTAGTAGATATCTACAGAACTCTCCACCCCAAATCAACAGAATATACATTCTTCTCAGCATCACATCGCATTTATTCTAAAATTGACCACATAATTGGAAGTAAAGCACTCCTCAGCAAATGTAAAAGAACAGAAATCACAACAAACTGTCTCTCAGACAACAGGAAAATCAAATTAGACCTCAGGATTAAGAAACTCACTCAAAAACCACACATTTAAAGCAGTGTGTAGAGGGAAATTTATAGCACTAAATGCCCACAAGAGAAAGCAGGAAAGATCTAAAATCGACACCCTAACATCACAATTAAAAGAACTAGAGAAGCAAGAGCAAACACATTCAAAAGCTAACAGAAGATAAGGAATAACTAAGATCAGAGCAGAACTGAAGGAGATAGAGACACACACACAAAAAAAAAACCCTCAAAAAATCAATGAATCCAGGAGCTGGTATTTTGAGAAGATCAACAAAATTGATAGACTGCTAACAAGACTAATAAAAAAGAAAAGTGAGAAGAATCAAATAGATGCAATAAAAAATGATAAAGGAGGATATCACCACAGAACCCACAGAAATACAAACTATCATCAAAGAATACTATAAACACCTCTACGCAAATAAACTAGAAAATCTAGAAGAAATGGATAAATTCCTGGACACATACACTTTCCCAAGACTAAACCAGGAAGAAGTTGAATCTCTGAATAGACCAATAATAGGCTCTGAAATTGAAGCAATAATTAATAGCCTACCAACCAAAAAAAGTCCAAGACCAGACAGATTCACAGCCAAATTCTAGCAGAGGTAAAAAGAGGAGCTGTTACCACTCCATCTGAAACTATTTCAATCAATAGAAAAAGAGGGAATCCTCCCTAACTCATTTTATGAGGACAGCATCATCCTAATACCAAAGCCTGGCAGAGACACAACAAAAAAAAGAGAATTTTAGATCAATGTCCCTGACGAACATTGATGCAAAACTCCTCAATAAAATACTGGCAAACTGAATCCAGCAGCACATCAAAAAGCTTATCCACCGCGATTAAGTTGGCTTCATCCCTGAGATGCAAGGCTGGTTCAACATACACAAATCAATAAACGTAATCCATCCCATAAACAGAACCAATGACAAAAACCACGATTATCTCAATAGATGCAGAAAAGGCCTTTGACAAAATTCAGCAGCCTTTCATGCTAAAAACTCTCAATAAACTAGATATTGATGGAACGTATCTCAATATAATACAAGCTATTTATGACAAACCCACAGCTAATATCATACTGAATGGGCAGAAACTGGAAGTATTCCTTTTGAAAACTGTCGTAAGTCAAGGATGCCCTCTCTCATCACTCCTATTCAACATAGTGTTGGAAGTTCTGGCCAGGGCAATCAGGCAAGAGAAAGAAATAAAGTGTATTCAATTAGGAAAAAAGAAAGTCAAATTGTCCCTGTTTGCAGATGATATGACTGTATATTTAGAAAACCCCATGGTCTCAGCCCAACATCTCCTTAAGCTGATAAGCAACTTCAGCAACGTCTCAGGATACAAAATCAATGTGCAAAAATCACAAGCATACCTATACACCAATAATAGACAAACAGAGAGCCAAATCAGGAGTGAACTCCCATTCACAATTGCTACAAAGAGAATAAAATACCTAGGAATCCAACTTACAAGGGAAGTGAAGGACCTCTTCAAGGAGAACTATAAACCACTGCTCAATGAAATAAAAGAGGACATGAACAAACAGAAGAATATTCCATGCTCATGGATAGGAAAGATCAATGTTGTGAAAATGGCCATACTGCCCAAGGTAATTTAAAGATTCAATGCCAACCCCATCAAGCTACCAATGACTTTCTTCATGAGATTGGAAAAAACTACTTTAAAGTTCATATGGAATCAAAAAGAGCCCACATTGCCAAGACAATCCTAAAAAAAAAAGAACAAAGCTGGAGGCATCATGCTAACTGACTTCAAACTATACTACAAGGCTACAGTAACAAAAACAGCATGGTACTGGTATATACACCTGCTATATATACAGTAACAAAAACAGATATATAGACCAGTGGAACAGAACAAAGGCCTCAGAAATAACACCACACAACTACAACTATCTGATCTTTGACAAACCTGACAAAAACAAGAAATGGCAAAGGATTCCCTATTTAATAAATGGTGCTGGGAAAACTGGCTAGCCATATGTAGAAAGCTAAAGCTAGATCCCTTCTTTACACCTTATATAAAAATTAATTCAAGATGGGTTAAAGACTTAAATGTTAGACCTAAAACCATACAAACCCTAGAAGAAAACCTAGGCAATACCATTCAGGACATAGGCATGGGCAAGGACTTCATGACTAAAACATCAAAAGCAATGGCAACAAAAGTCAAAGTAGACAAATAGATCTAATTAAACTAAAAAGCTTCTGCACAACAAAAGAACTACCATTATAGTGAACAGGCAACCTACAGAATGGGAGAAAATTTTTGCAATCTACCCATCTGACAAAAGGCTAATATCCAGAATCTACAAAGAACTTAAACAAATTTCCAAGAAAAAAACAAACAACCCCATCAAAAAGTGGGTGAAGGATATGAACAGACACTTCTCAAAAGAAAACATTTATGCAGCCAATAGACACATGAAAAAATGGTCATCATCACTGGTCATCAGAGAAATGCAAATCAAAACCACAATGAGATATCATCCACGCCACTTAGTATGGTGAGCATTAAAAAGTCAGGAAACAACAGATGCTGAAGAGGAAGTGGAGAAATAGGAAAGTTTTTACGCTGTTGGTGGAACTGTAAATTATTTCAACCATTGTGGAAGACTGTGGCGATTCCTCAAGGATCTAGAAATAGAAATACCATTTGACCCAGCAATCCCATTACTGGGTATATACCCAAAGGATTATAAATCATCCTACTATACAGATACATGCACATGTATGTTTATTGTGGCACTATTCACTATAGCAAAGACTTGGAACCAACCTAAATGTCCATCAATGATAGACTGCATTAAGAAAATGTGGCACATATACACCATAGAATACTATGCAGCCATAAAACAGGATGAGTTCATGTCCTTTGCAGGGACATGGATGAAGCTGGAAACCATCATTCTCAGAAAACTATCACAAGGACAGAAAACCAAACACCCCATGTCTCACTCATAGGTGGGAGTTGAACAATGAGAACACTTGGACACAGGGCAGAGAACATCACACACCAGGGCTTGTCGGGCAGTGGGGGGCTAGGGAGGGATAGCATTAGGAGAAATACCTAATGTAAATGACGAGTTGTTGGGTGCAGCAAACCAGCATGGCACATGTATACCTATGTAACAAACCTGCACGTTGTGCACATGTAACCCAGAATGTAAAGTATAATAACAACGAAAAAAGAAATACATATACATTTTTTTTCATGTGCCTGATGACTATTTCTTACAACAGTGCCCTATTTTCTCATGACTGGGTACCATGCATTGGCTCTGTATATCTTTCTTCATTTTGACGTAAATTCTACGTAATACTGTATAAATATTTTATAGTATATGGTTCTTACTGTTACCTAGTTTCAACATGAATGAAGATACATTTTTTATTTTTGCTCCCTTTAAAAATAGTTCAGGAATCTTTTGAAAAGGACAGAGAATTAGGAGCTAGTTCTTACCCTGTTGTCTTTTTCTAAACTTCCAAATATCTGTTCATTAAATTCACCTGTATATAGAACACTGCTGTTAACTTCCAGGATATGCATAAAAATGAAGATTTAAAATTAAATAGGCCACGTGACTACCGAATGCATTTGCCATGGCTATGCATGTCAAAATTTCTAATTTGAAAAAATGATTACTACAATGAATTATGAGTAGCAGATCTGAAGTTAGAGGAGGCATAAGAAATCTTTCATTTTAAAAACTTACAGAATTTTAGATACAAAATGTCTTCATCAGCAGGGGCCATGCAGCTCAGAACATTCATTTAGAGTTTAATAAAATAAGCCCATGGTTACAACTGTCTTCATTAAAATATGTTTTATAAATAGGTTTAATTTGCCTGATTTCAAATACAGGCTAAGAATTAAAATGAAATCACAAAAAAAAAAAACCTTGAGAATATTTTTAGAATTTAGATATTTGCCTTCATAAGACAAACCTTACATGGCTAAATAAACAAATAGATATTATTTTGACATTTTGGAGGTATCAGTGCATCCTGATCCATAAATGAGAAATGTAATTTGCCTAAGAACTTTGTTTAGGGTAAAACCATGAAACAAACAAACAAAAATACTTTTTGTCTAAATGGAATAAGACATTTAACTTTTAACATTTTATCCTTTCTAGTTAAGAATTAGTATTACCAGGATAATTTGTTTTTGAGAAAGTAAACCTAGATTTAATGAGTGTCAAACTTTGTGCTATGGGATTTACATATAAAATCTCATTTAATTCTCCTAAAATCCCCTTGTTCATCTTTATTATATAAGATATCGGTGATGTACAGTCAGATTAAGTAATTTATGCAACTTAACAGAGTTTGGTTATGAGGGAGCTCATTTTGTTTCGTAATATCAGAGTGGTTTAACTGTGCCTAAAATGCAACACTAGAAGATAATTGTATAACATTCTCATGCATATATTTTATAATGCAATTGATCATAATACTGTTTTTTACACATGTAGCTACCCATGATAAAACATTGATTCTCTGCATGTTAAAGTATATAGCAATAAAACAGTATTATAATTACTAAAGCAATTAGTCCATGTTTTAATAAATTGATTTTCTTATTAATGTGGAAATGATAAAGAATTCAGTGATAACTTTATAAACTAAACAGACATTTCTTGATTTTTAGGGTAACATTTATAATGCTTAATCATATGTTACCGACAAAATGCTTTTCATAAAGGTCAGCCAGTAATTTAATCCAGCTGGTGGAAAAATAAATAAATGAACATTTCTAAGTACATGATAATTAAGTTATTCAGTGCAATCACAAGATAGCATATCTTGGATATTTCAAATGGCTCTAGTGAAATAGAGCCTAGCTAGAGTTTTTACCTTTTCTTGCTTGTATCAATCAGAGGCCTACTGAGAAAACAGAACACAGAGAAAGTATTCAAATAGTGTATGTTTAATGCAGGTGATTTGTTACTCTTGTCATGTAAGATCTAAGCCACACAGAGGACAGTGAGGTAACACAAAGATCAGAAGCAACCACTCTGAAACTGGAGGACAGGAATGAAGAGGTGTTCCATGACCCCTGGGCCATCTGACCAAACCAAGCTACAACCAGCTGTCAAGAGAGCATGGCAAAGTGCAGCTGCAAAGGTCTCCTATCTTGTGATAGAGAACAAAGCAAGGAAAAAGTGAGGAACATGTCTAAGAGCAAACAGACCAAGCACCAGCTACGATAGTTTTGCTTGCTGGTGAAGAAATAATTTCCTTTTTTATATTATACCCAACAACACTCTAAAGTAAGTAGAAGTTACATTTTTAAAATTTTTTTTAAAAAGATAATAAGTCACAGTATTTTCAACAAGTCTTTTCATAAAATGTCGCCCAAATATTTGTGTATTATTATCTTTCGTCTATGTTTTATTTGGTCTTACCCTTACCAAATGCAATACCACATTCTGAATACAAATGCATTATAATTATATAAGTTTATTTAAAATGTATTCAAAGAGACAATTTTATTCTCAGATAAATAATTTTAAAAACACTTTAAAAGATGGAAAAATGATAATGTCATTCAAGGATAACGCAACAAAGAAACCAGTATTTATTCTTCAGTATACTTTAATATATATATATTCTTTTCCTAAGAATTTGTAGATTGATGTAGGTACAAAGGTTGGCAACCTAAGGACTGTCGGCAAAAGTCTGCCACCACTTTTTGTAAATAAAATTTTATTTAAACAAAGTCACACCCCTGTGTTCAAGTATTGTCTGTGGCCATTTGGCTTACTATAGCAGAGGTGAATAGTTGTGACAGAGACCATATGGCTGACTAGCCTAAAACATTTACTAATTGACCCTTTAAAGAAAAGATTGCAGACTTAGGAAGTGAGTATGTGTTTCATTTTTGTTTTTAACTGAAACCTCCATTAAAAGAGGAACCTAATTTTACTTCTTATATTACCTGAGAATAACAGAAAATAAAATCACAAAACCAATTATGTCTCCCTCATATACCCTAAACACAAATATATACCTAGAGTAGATTTAAACTTCATATAAAGCAAAATTATTTTGCCAGTGGAAACATTTGAACTACCCAAATTAGGTTATCTTATAAATGTGCTTAATAATTCAATTATGAGGTATTCTTTAGAAAAGTTATTTTTTAATTTTTTACCAGGTAGATTTAATGAACTTTTTATTAAATAGGAGTTCATATTGTAGCCAAGGTTGTATATGTTTGTTTTCATAGCCATTGGCAACATGATACTTCTTGATGCTTTTAAATGAAAATCCTTCGCAAAAGTCTCCGTGAATGTATAATAAATATATATTTACTTAAATACAAGTGTCACAAGCAAAGTTAATGATTCTTAATTCGGTAACTATTTTGTTTACCTTACATTTATCATTACAAAAATAATTTTAATTTTGAAATATGTCCTAGGAGTATGAGTATAATTATAATTGAATGATTAGCAGGAATACATAATAAATAGTGATCATTTCATCTTAGGCATAGGTGAAGCAAAGGAGGATCTCTGAGAAAGTTTTAGGTGAAACGCAGCCTCCTGATATTAAATTATTAGGAAGCAACCTTTAAAAACTAATAAAATAAATAGATAAAGTACATGTTGTTAACCAACTTCTAATGATTGCAATAAAGCCTCTTGCCGAGACCGACTTTTAAATTTATTCCTCAAACATGGATGGACTATCTACTCTGCAGAAATCACTGAATATACACAATAAAATTATCAGTTTAATTACCACTTGTTTAAGAAAGCTAAAGAAAAGAGAGAAAATACAGTGGTAAAACAGAATATATTGTGATGACAATTAAGGGGCATGCATCCAACTCATTTCCAATATAAGGTGTCTGAATTCCTCACAAATTATATATAACACCATTGGTAACTTGTTCTAAAGTACAAATTTTATTTACCATGATAAACAACTCAATATAGTCCCAATGCCTACATTGCAAGACTAGGAGCTTGCTTAATTTTATATGTGTTTATCCTTCACCATAAAATTAAAAATGGAACTCATATTTACTAATGCATTTGTTGTTCTGTCTTGCTCTGGGCAGAAGCCAAAATCCCTAGCCTAGACTTTACCTCTTTCTCTGTAACTGCTCTGGTAGCCTGCAAAGAAGTACAAACATGGAGTGTGGAGCAGAAATGATGTTCTCTGATGTTCAATGCCCCTTTCTAAAGTTCACCCTTTCTGAGACTGTATTTCAAGACTGTATTTCAAGCTACATTCTCCCATTCTACATTTCAAAATTAACACCAAAACACAGTGGTCCATAACTTCTGTTTCGGTTATGTCACGGCAACTATTGCTGTCACCTAAATGCACCTGGATGATATCAGATGGCCTTGGTATTGACTTTAATATTTTTTGGTGGCCTTGACCAACAATGGTAAGTCAGCCTACTCCACTGGTACCAAACCTGTGCTCTCTGTTAATGGAGATGGCCTTCTCCTATTAGACATCCGCTTTTCTTATGAGCCCCTGGAGAGCCATATATATATTACTTCTGTCATTATTACTGCTCAGACTCTCCCTTTCCATAACTTCTACTGTTATGGAATGAATGTTTATGTCTCCTCCAAATTCATATATAGAAATGCTAATCTCCAACGTGATGGCATTAGAAAGTAAGGTCCTTGAGAGGTGATAAAATCATGATGATAGAGCCCCCATGAGTGAGATTAGCACCCTTATTAAAGAGGCACCAGAGAACCCTCTTGCCCTCTTTCAACCCTGGGGGGAGACAATGAGAAGTTGGCAATTGCAATCTGGAAAAGGGCCCGCCCCAGAACCTGACCATACCAGTATCCTGATCTTGGACTGTCAGCCTTCAGAACTGTGAGCAAAAAAAAATGTGTTGTTTATAGCCACCCAGTGTATGGTATTTTGTTATAGCATTCTGAACTGAGATATCCATCTGTCACAATTTGGTAAAAGCTCCGTTCAGGGACAATTTGGAAATAACTCAACTGCCACATTAAAAATTTAGAACTTTCAAACAAAATTCTGGGAGATGTAAACACAAATCTCTTGGTTTCTAATTTAAAGGGACACCTTTCTTTTACTTTCACTTCATTGTAGGAAGTAATCAACATCTGTTTTGTCTTTTTCTTCCAACTTTATGTTGCTGCTGGTGACAAACTGAAGATTGTCTTGGAGTTCCTGTCCTATGCAATAGGGTTCTGAGCCCTAGGTGGGGCTCTATTTCTAGCTCAGGGGTAAAGCATCAATTTCATTGCAATCTCTCTCTCTCTCTCTCTCCAGACACACACACACACACACACACACACACACACACACACACACACACACTCACACACACACATTATGCTTATTGGTTCAGGGTAGAAGTTTATGTTAAATTTGTCCATACAGAGGAATGCATGGGACTGTTATTCATCAGAAAGAGAAACTTTCTTTTTATGCTGGCTTTGAACCCAGGAGGCTATGAGTATTGACCTACTATGGGCCATCATAAAAAGTAAAAGAAAGAATACACCATGAGAGGCAGAGCTTAGAGAATCATAGAAATGGTGCTCTGATGATATAGTATGAATCCTGAATATGATGGTGTCTGAAACTAGGACTAAAAACAGATGTTTCAGTTTTTGAACCAATCAATTTGTTTCTCTTTCTGCTTGAACCTGTTAGTACTAGATTATGTCACTTGAAATTGAGAGACTGTAAAGCAGATATTAAGGGATAACTTTTGTCTCCCTGTTTGATGGTCACTGGAAACTCCTTAAGTATTCCATTACATCAAGTGTGTGGGTGAGGAAAGGGGGATGATTTGTAGGATAAGCCAATTACTGTGAAGAGTAGATGCTTGTACGTTAGCAGCGGTGAATCTGTAGGGGTCTGCAGCAACCTCAATTCTTGTCTCCTCAGAAGAAAGAATTCAACCACAGGGCACAAGGCAGAGTGAGAGGCCGAGGCAAGTTTTAGAGCAATAGTGAAAGTTTATTAAAAAGCTTTGGGACAGAAATGAAAGGAAGTAAAGTACACGTGGAAGAAGGCCAAGCACTTGACTCTAGAGAGACAAATGAGTGGTTTGACCTCTGGCTTGGGGTTTTATATGTTGGCATGATTCCTGGGGGTTGCATCTCTTCTCCTCTGATTCTTCCCTTAGGGTGGGCTCTCCGCACGCTCAGTGGCCTACTGGCAGTTGGGAGGGGCTCTATGTGCAGTCTGTTTACTAAAATATGCATGTTCACTTGGGCATTTTTCCCTTATCTGTCCGGTGTTCCTAGAGGAAGATCGTCTGCCATTTTGCCTCTTAGTGCTCATGTTTGAGCCCACTCACCCAACTTCTGAGATCTTATTGGGAAACTGCTAATCACCAGTTTCTTGTGTTTCTATCTGTTGGGAGACTGCCTTTCCCTGGTGCTGGCTGCAACTAATTATTATTTTAGAGAGACAGTTAATGACCACCTGGCCATCACCTGATGGTTGCCTGACATTCCTAATTGTGTGGGGCCCTCTCTTACCCTGCTCATGTCTGACTGGCTACCTACTCAAACAATCTCATGGTCAATTTCAACCCACCCATGTTACATCACTGAACTAGGAGTTGTGAAGGGATGGACGTGATCAATTCTTGCTAGTCAGTGCAAGCCATTCTTGGCGTATAACACCAATAGTATCTTCATTCCTCTATGACTTCCCAAGTTCTCTCAGTGGTTATGCAGAATTTTTTAAATTTTGTAGGGCAATGCTGATTTCTAGTCTGGCATGTCAGTTACTTAGAAGTTGCCACTCCATCGTAACAACAAATAAAAAGATAACAAAATCATCAGTTCTTGTTACATCTGGTAGAGAAGTGAGTGCAGATCACTGTCTATCACTCCCAATGTTGGAGAAACAGACAGACAGATACAGAGAATCACAACTTATCTGAGCAGAAACCCTGGATCAAAAATCTCTGCAGGAACCAGTGGCAGGGTGGACCTGAACTGTAATTGATAAATTGTTGAAGCACAGTGTGGACAACTCTGAGACTTAAAAACTCCAGGAGGCCCTGTTTTCGGGAGGCTGCTGCATTTTTATAAATTTTACCTTCAGAAGTGCTACCAATTCTTCACAGTAAATATTGGAAAAAACTTCCCTTTGTGATGTTGGTAGGGGGAGACGAAAAGTAATCATTTTGAAAGATGCCATAGCATTCTCTTCTTCTTAATATAAGGCCTGCCTTCAGGGGAAACTATTTAGCAGAGACTAATCTGCTGGGGTTTTATGAAAGCCTAACTGTCCTGGGGAAAGGAAGCCTTCTACATGGAGGAAGGGAAATACACAGCACTTGCCCTCTTCCAGCCATCCTGCTCCACCTAAGTGGGAGAGGACCAGGAGGCACTAGCGAAGTTCATGGTCCAAGGGCACAATCTTACCAAAAGAATGAGACCAAATTATAAGACAAAAACTTTTCTTGTCCCCACAATTTACTGTTATATTGCTAAAGGTCTACTTAGTGCAGTTTCTTGTATCCTGTAGGTTATATCCATTTTTCAACAAAGAATTATAAGGCATACTCATAGGCAAAAACAAAGTTTGAGAGACTGAATAAGATTCAGAACCAGTCAGTTATAGAAAGAATGCCAGAATTATCAGATCAAGAATCAAAACAAAATCTCCCCAAAAATCTATAATTACTATGCTAAGAGCTTTAATGGAAAATGTAGATAATATGCCAAAACAGAAGAATAATATAAGCAGAGAGATAGAAATTATATCAAAGAGTCAAAAATAATGCTAGAAATTAAAGACTCTGTAACAGAAATGAAGAATTTATCGTGTGGGTTCATTAGACTGGACGTGGCTGAGGAAAGACTGTCTGAGCTTGAAGATATGACAATAGAATCTTCAAAAACTAAAAACAACAGAGAAAAAAATGCTGAATAAAACCCCCCACAAAAACAGCATAATATCCAAGAGCTGTGCAACAACAAAATGTATAACATAAGTATAATGAGAATACCGGAAAAAGAAGAAAGAATGGAATGAACAGAAAGGTTATTTGAGAAAATAATGATGGAGAATTTTCCCAAATTAACGTCAGAAACTAAACAACAAACCCAGGAAACTCAGAAAACACAAAGCAGGATAAATGCCAGAAAACCTATATCTGGCCAGGAGTGGTGGCTCACACCTGTAATCCCAGCACTTTGGGAGGCTGAGGCAGATGGATCATGAGGTCAGGAGTTCGAGACCAGCCTGGCCAACATGGTGAAACCCCATCTGTACTAAAGATACAAAAAATTAGCCAGGCATGGTGGAACATGCCTGTAATCCCAGCTATATGGGAGGCTGAGGCATGAAAATCATTTAAACCCGGGAAGAAGAGGTTGCAGTGAGCCCAGATTGCACTATTGCACTCCAGCTTAGTGACAGGGTAAGACTCCTTCTCAGAAAAAAGAAAAAAAAAAAAAAGTTAAAAAAAGTTGTGAAAGAAGCCAGAGGGAAGAAAAAAAAAAATTTCAAAGGTAAGAATTACATACAACTTCCCCTCAAACAACATGCCTGAAAGAAGAGTGTAGAATAAAATATTTGAGGGGTTGAGAGAAAAAATAAAACAAACAAACATAAAAACACCAACTTAGAATTTATTATCCCTCAAATGTGAAGGAGTAGTGAAGATTTTCACAGAAAAACAAAAGTTGAGGGAATTTTTTGCCATCAGATGTCTTGCAAGAAGAGTTAAAAACCTGTTTTTCAGTACAAAGAAAAATTATATAGGTCAGAAATGCAGATCTAAATAAAGACAGGAAGAACGTTAGAGAATAAATAAGTAAAAAACAATACTTTTATTTTTCTTATTCTTAGTTTATCCAATAGATAACAAAATTGTTCAAAATAACAGTAGAAGCTATATTCAATTATTTACAACTATATATATTTATATATGCTTATGTATAAGTAAAATGTATGACATCACTGATAATACAAGGAACAGGAGGAAAAAATAGGAATAGTTTGTTATTATGAGTTATACTTCCTGTTAAGTAGTATAATGTTATCTGAAAATGGGCTTGAAGTAATTCTAAATATAGATTGTAAAATCTCAACCACTTAATTTTTTTAAATGCATAATTATGACAATAAGAACGGAGAATGAATGAAATTATATAAAATACCCAATTAAAATCACAAAAGGCAGAAAAAGTTTGGAAGATAAAAATAGAAACAAAAAACAATAGTGACAAAAACAATAACAAATATGGTAGCTATTAATGCAACTATATCACTAATAACCTTAAACATTAATAGGCTAAATACACCAATTAAAAAACAGATTGTCAGAGTAAATTAAAAGAAAACTGTGTACTAGTTACAAGAAGCCCACATTAAATGTAATTACACATATAGTTTTAAAATAAAGCGATGAAGAAAGATATACCATTCTAACATGAATCAAAAGAATCGGGAAGCCGGGCGCGGTGGCTCATGCCTGTAATCCCAGCACTTTGGGAGGCCAAGGCAGGCAGATCACCTGAGGTTGGGAGTTTGAGACCGGCCTGACCAACATGGAAAAACCCTGTCTCTGCCAAAAACACAAAATTAGCCGGGTGTGGTGGCACACACCTGTAATCCCAGCTACTTGGGAGGCTGAGGCAGGAGAATCACTTGAACCCGGGAGGCAGAGGTTGCAGTGAGCAGAGATGGGGTTTCTCCATGTTGGTCAGGCTGGTCTTGAACTCCCAACCTCAGGTGATTCGCCCCCTTCAGCCTCCCAAAGTGCTGGGATTACAGGCATGAGCTACCGCACCCAGCCATTACTGCTTTTTTAACATCATCCTGGAAGTCCCAGTTGATGTGATAAGTCAATACGAGAAATTTAAAATTACATAGATTGAAAAGACAAAATGAAACAGTCTTTGTTCATAGGTGATATTATCATTGACATGAAGAAATGGAAAAAATTAGAGGACCAGACAATTTAAAAAACCTTCTCAGAACTAATATGCAATTATAGCAAGGTTGCAGGATACAAGGTTAATATACAAAGGGCAATTCTGTATATACCAGCTATGAATAAGTGGAATTTGAAATAAAAAATGTCATAACACATTAGGATCCCAAAATGAAATACTTTGAAAACAAAATATGTTAACAAAATATGTACAAAATTTATGTGAAGAAAACTATGAAACTCTCATAAAAAGATACTGTATTAAGAAGAAAAACTAAATAAATGGGAAAGTATTCTGCATTTATGCATGGAAAGAGTCAATAATGTCAAGATGTCAGTTCTTTCCAATTTGGTTATTAGATTCAATGCATTGACAATAAAAATTCCAGCAAGATATCTTGTAGATATTCACAAACCTATACTTAAGGTTTATGTGAAGAGACAAAAAAACTCAGAATACCTGACTCAATAATGAAGAAGAAAAAGAAAAGTCAGAAATTTGATACTACCCAGCTTTAGTCTTACAATAAAACTACATTAATCAAGGCAGTGTGGTTTGGGCCAAAGAGTAGATTAGACAAATCAATAGAACAGAATAGAGCCCAGAAATAGACCAACATGAATGTGGTATACTGATCTTTAAAAAAGGAGAGAAGTCAATATAATGAAGCAGAGATATTCTTTTCAAGAAATGGAACTAAAACAACTGTGCAAATGTGCAAAAATTGAATTACACAAAATCTTAAACCCTCCACAAAAAATAACAACATATAAATTATAGACCTAAATTAAAACACAAAACTATAGAACTAGAAGATAAAATAGGAGAACACCTAGATAGACTTGGGTATAACAATGACTTTTTATATATGATACTAAAAACCCAATATATGAAATAATTAATAAATAAGCTTGCTGTCATTAAATTAAAAACTTCCGTTCTGCAAAAGACAATGACCAGAGAAAAAGAAGACAAGTCACAGACTGAGAAAACATATTTGCAAAATTCAAATCCGATAAAGCTCTGTTATCCAAAATAGACAAATAATACTAAAACTCAACAATAAGAAAATGAAAAACCCTATTGAAAAATGGAAAAAAGACTTGAACAGACACTTCCCCGAAGAGTGCATACAGATGGCAAGTAAGTCTATGAAAATACATTCAAAGTTATATGCCATTAGGGAATTGCCAATAAAAACAATGAGCTACTACTCAACACTTGTTAGAATGGTCAGTATACAAAACCTGACAACATTAAATGCTGACAAGGATGTGGTCATTTTGCATTACCACCAGTAGGGATGACAGAAACTCTCATTCCTTACTGGTGGGAATGCAAAATGGTAGAGCCACTTTGGAAGACAGTTTGGGAGTTTCTTACAATGCTTAACCTGCCCTTTCCATATAATCCAGCAATTGTGTTCCTTGGTATTTACTCCTAGGAGCTGAAAACTTATGTCCACACAAAAACCTGCACACAAATGTTTAAAGCAGCTTTATTCATTATGTCCAAAACTTGGAAACAACCACATACCCTTCAGTAGGTTACTGGATAAATAAACTCGGGTACATGGAGACAATGGAAGATTATTCAGTGCTAAAAAGTATTAGCTATCGAGCCATGAAAAGATACGAAGAACACTTAAATGCATACTACTAAGTAGAAAAGAGTATTTTAACAGGCTACATACTGTATGCTTCCAACTATATGACATTCAAGAGGTGGTAAAAAGTTTCATGTTTGCCAGTGTTTAGGGGGAGGGAGGGATGAATAGAAAGAGGACAGAGGGATTTTAAGGCAATGAAACTATTCTGTGTGAAAATAAATAGTGGACATATGTCCTTATACATTTGTCAAAATTCATGGACTATACAACACCAAGGGGAACATTAAGGTACACTGTGGTCTTTGGATAATGATGATGCATCAATGTGCATGTATCGATGATAACAAATGAACCAGAGTGTGTGGGATTTTGATGGTGGGGGAGGTTATGAGTGCCTGGGAATATGTGGGAACTTTGTACTTTCAATTCAACATTTCTGTGAAACTAAAATGATCTAAAAATTAAAGTTTATTAATCTAAAAAAGTAATAGTTTTAAATTTAATATTTATATTTTTCCTTTTGAACTTTATGTATAAAATATAGAATGATACAATTAAGCAGTCTCCTCAGGGAAACTATTAACATAGTTGATCCATACAAGATCTCTCATATTTAATTTTCTCTTTTTACCCCAATCATCATGATGCAATCTCCTTAGATAGCAATTGTCATGTGTTGTGACATGTTCACAAAGATATGTTTCCAAGAAAAATATGTTCTGAGGTGTGTGTGTGTGTGTGTGTGTGTGTGTGTACATTACCATAAAGCTGCCTCTTCCAGTTCTGAGACAGCAAGACCAACCCTTCCTCTTCCTCCTCTTCCTCAGGGTACTCAGTTTGAAGACAAGGAAGATGAAGACCTTTATGATGATTCACTGCCACTTCATGAATAGTAAATACTCCCTTCTTTGTTTTTCTCAATAGCATTTCCTTTTCTCTAGCTTCCTTTATTGTAAGAATACAGCACATTATATATATATATAAACATATAAAATATATATATATATAAACATATAAAATACATGTTAATCAACTGTTTGTTACCAATAAGGCTTCTGATCAAAACTAGGCTATTAGTAGTTAAGGTTTTGGAGAGTCAAAATTGATATGCAGATTTTCAAATGCATGGGAATTTGGCGCCTCCAACCTCTATGTTGTTCAAGGGTCAATTGTATTTATGCAGTGAAGATGGACTAGGCAGCCTTTTAGTTCTGCCTCCCTCACTCTTAAACTGCAATCCTACTAATAATGTTCAAATTGTTCAAACCTCATCTTAGTGTCAATTTAGTGAAACAGTATATTTTCCATCCTTTTCTATAATTATGCCATAATAGTAGGTATATTATATATAGAAGGTTGCAATACTTGCTTGAAAACATAAGGAAATTCTTTTCAGTTGACAAAGGCAGGAATTGAAAGAGAAAAATTAATTCCCTAGGTTTTAAAATTAGCAAACAAACAATAATTTATATATTTGAAGATTTTTAATTTTACTGTCTTAGATTTTAATATTACTACTAATCAAAGTCACCTTCCATTCTCTTCAGTTGCCAACTTAAGCAATTTGTAATAGTGGGCTTATGTCGCAATTAGACTTCTTTCTTTGCTCTTCTGTTTTACAATTGGATACCATATGTGAAGGAGCATATTCAATTTTGAAAAACCTGTTTGTTTACAATTCAAGCCAAGTGCAATCTTCACTAATTGCTTTAAATTATTCTACAATAAGGAGGTTTTAAAATGTTGGTCCCAATATGTGGTTAATGTGAAAAGTTAAAATGAAAGTTTAATATAAGATCTATCTACGCTTTAATCCAGAAATAATTACCCCTTGATATTTACAAAGAACAATACAAAATTAACCCTAAAACACAGTTTCAGGTTTGAAGAAAAGAATAATAAAAAAATAGTGTGTATTAGAAACAGTAAATCAAAGCTAATGAAGCAACATTAGCACTTTTATGTTGTAGGTTCTAATTAGAAAGTCTGTTAATGAAATTGGGGCATTTACTTAATTGCTGTGAACAATTATTTTCAAATTAAGCTTGGCAATTAAATAGCATGATTAAGCTTGGAATAGTGGATTTAGGTAGGGGTTTTGTAACTATTTTGTATGCTGTATTATGTATGGCAGTTTAAGCTCTGGATATGTGCTGATTAACAAATGTAAATGGCATGCAGTACTTCTTGGTCTTGGCTATTTTTGCGAAGATGTTTCCTATTGCCTTAAATACTTGCCTTGCACAGTAGCTTCTAACTACTGGAACCCAAACCAACAACCTGCCCCACTTAACTTAAATAGATATTTTTTTCCTTCCCATAAATGTCAAACTTCCTGAAATAAGCTTGTACATTTATAGGCTGCATTCGCATCCCTTTCATTTAGCACTTTAACTCTTGCTCCCAGTCTTCAGTGCTATCACAAATAGTACTAATTGTCACAACATAAATGTGTCAGATTGATTCATTATTAGTAAATTATTTGATCCTTAATTATAACCTTTGGGAAAGTTGTTATTAGCATTTTTATTTCCCAAATAAAACTGAGGATCAGAAAGACTTTTTCTAAAACCTTTTCAAAGCAACCCAGTTGCTAAATGGCAGGATAGGAATTTGAACATAAATTCACTTATGGCAACCCCCGTGTATCTTCTACATAATGGAGTTTCTTCTCTTTATGTCCACAAATGCAGTTCATTGCTTGGTATTTGATACTGCTGACCACACTCTCACTGGGAAATTTCCTTGGCTTTCAAATTACCATTATACCCCCTGTTTCTACCTTATTTCTTCCATGTCTCAATTCCATTTATTCTGCAAGACTTCTTCATTCTACCTCCTAAAGGTAGCCAATGTTCGCTTCTCAGATTTTTTTATGTTCTATTGAATCTAAGGTTTTAGAAAACGTAATCAAGTATACAGGCAAACTTAACTTGTTATTTCCCTAAGCACCACTCACAGCCAACTAATCACATCAAAATGATCCGTATTTATTTATTGATAACTTTTCATTGTAACTATTCCCTCTGCCCTTTTTAACTTTTTCTTTTTAATTCTTTTAGAAACAGAGTCTTCTCTGTCACCCAGGCCAGAGTGCAGTGGCATGATAATGGCTCACTGAAATCTCAAACTCCTGGGCTCAAGTAATCCTCCCACCTCAGGCTCACAAAAAGCTAAGACTTCTGGCACATGCCACACGCCCTGATAGCTTTTCAAATATTTTTTTGTTGAGAAAGGGTCTCACTATGTTGCCCAGGCTGGTCAAAAACTTCTGTCCTCAGGCAATCCTCCCACCTCAAACTCCCAAAATGCCGGGATGACAGGCACGAGTCACCATGTCTGGCCAAAACCTCTACTCTTAACATACTGATTTTCCCGACTGCTTTTGAATAGGATTTGCTAATCTTTCCGAACCATCTTATGACTTCTTCCTGTTCTTTGATAAATGAGAGTCGCTTCCCATTCTTTTATGCCTAACTTCTAAATTTCTGTTGGTATGTTTAGGCTGCTTTGACAAAAATACCTCAGATTGAGTAATTTATAAACAAAAGAAATTTATTTTTCACAGTTCCAGAGGCCGGGAAGTCAATGCCCGCAGATCAGCGTCTAGTGAGGGCCTGCTTCCTGGTTCATAGACAGTGCCTTCTTGCTGTGTCTTCACATGGTGGAATAGGCAAGGCAGTTCTCTTGGGCCTCTTTTAGAATGGTACTAATTCCATTCATGAGTGGATCCCTCATGTTCTAATCACTTCCTAAAGACCGATACGGTTAGGCTTTGTGTCTCCATTCAAATTTCATCTTGAATTATAATCTCCATAAGCCCCACATGTCAAGAGAGACACCAGGCAGAGGCAATTGAATCATGGGGACGGTTTCCCCGGTGCTGTTCTCGTGATAGCGGTGAGTTATCATGAGGTCTGATGGTTTTATAAGGAGCTCTTACCCCTTCACTCAGCACGTCTCCTTCCTGCCATTTTGTGAAGAAGGTGCTTTGCTTCCCGTTTGTTTCCGCCATGATTGTATGTTTCCTGAGGCCTCCCCAGTCACGCCAAACTGTGAGTCAATTAAACCTCTTTCTTTTATAAATTACCCAGTGTCGGACAGTTCTTTATAGCAGTATGAAAACGAACTAATACAGACTCAACACCTGATTTTTGGGGAGACACCAACACTAAGGCCATAGAAATTATGTTTCAGTATCTAATATTTTTTGTGTGAATATTGGTAACCAGAACAGTGTGTGTGACACAGAAGATTTTGAAAGAGATCAGTAAGGTTTGTCAAATAAAATTTTAAAATTATTTATGTGGCCTCTTTTTAATGAGAAAAATCCATAAAATAACTAAATACATGTAATTTATCTGTGAATTAATTTATAAGAATAAACATTTATAATTTTCCACTTATTTATTTGAAATAATATAGTAAAACTTTGTAGCCCAGTTTATGAATGTTGAAGCAATAGTGGATGTATATTGGGGTAATAGATGTCTGCTGCACTTTTATAAATTTTGCTAAAATCTAAATTAAAATTAAGTAAAGTTGAACATCATACCATCAATTAAAAATCTGAAAGCAGGTAAATAGAATTTCGCTTTTTTTTTCCTTAATGGTATGTTGAATATTATTTGTCAATGTATCAAGTATAAATTGAATTTAGGAGTTGTTTTATTATTTTATAAAATTAAGCATGCTTTTATAATATTGATACGTTTTCCATTTTATATATGTACAATTCTGAGAATTATATATTTTTTTCATTGTATGGATGAATATATTGAATATAGACAATAAGTTTATATGAAAAACAAAGAAAAAACATTAAACAAAGACAGTGATTTGTCATTCTGGCTATTGCTGGAAGCATTCTGATCATATATACTCTTTGTAATTAGCCAATTGTAATTATCTAAATCAGAGATCAGAAATTATGGCCTGTGGACTAAATCTAGCCCATGTCTGGTTTTTATAAATAATGTTTTTACATTTTATTTTATATTATTATACATATTTATTATTATTTTATAAATAATTTGTTTGGAACAGAGCCTTATTTTCATATACATTGTCTATGGCTGTTTTTTTCCTTATAATGATCAAGTTAAATAGTTGCAACAGAGACCAGATCATCAGCAAAGCATCACACACTTACTATCTGGCCCTTTTATAAATTATGTTTGTTTACTTATAGGCTAGAAGAGTAGAACGAATGTAAGCTTTCATGCATGACAACAATTTTTTTTTCTTTTGTCAAGCTGTCAAAATGGTTAATTTACCTTCAAATGTGTATTTCTGTGCCAAATTTTATGGTCAATTAGGAAAATAATTGGAGAACACCCATTCTTTGACAACTTCCGATTTCTTGCCTAACCTCTTTTTTTCAGCTGTAAGTTTCCTTCAGCAGATTACTTCCAGTAGATAGCCCACTGTGATGTTTATCAAATTATTGACTCTCAACTGCACGTGTATCCCTTACTTCCTCCTCTGAAAATGAAGCTGGGCCTTTTAAATGTCTGTACTTTGCTGGCTGGCAGGATTTAAAACTGACCAATAGAGGGCAGTAGAGGAACTGTGAAGGAAGAATGGGCATTTCATTCTCAGGGTGCTCTTCTCAGTAGGTTCCTGCAGTGCACAGTTTCTCTGCAATTCAGCTCCTTCAGCAATGGGTTTTCCATTATCTGCTTCCTGCAGTGCAGGACAGACAACAGCTTAGCTCAGCAAAACCTCAGGCTGATTTCCTAAGCTCTGAGGTATGGCATCTCTCTGTGGATGGCTTGCCCTAGAAACACAGCCAATTTTCAGCAAATTCTGCTAGGACAGCACCTGAGATTTCTGTATGTTTCAGTGAGCTAAGGCTAGGCCAATGCCACTGAGATCTGGATTTCAAGTTTGGGGTGTTGCGTGTGAGGAGCTCTTCCATAGGTGCTCTCTACTTCTAGTTGTATGATTGAATGTTACTCCTCTGATCTCCTATCTGTATTCTTCAGAGTTCTCCTTCTTCTTAGCAAATCCCCTGTGAGCTTCAATCCTCTGCTTTAGTTAATAGTTGTTTATATTAAACATTTTCTCTTTAAAACACAATGTTGCTGTCTTCTGGTAGGACTCTGAAAAATACATGAGAAACACCTAAAACTTCTTCACAAGTTTAAAATTAAACTCGTAATCCAGCCCCCAGAATGTTGGAGCTTCTCTCGTATTATGTGTATTGTTAGTCATCCAAGAAGGAAGCTTTGAGTGAATTTAATTTCTGTTGCTGCCTCTTAATTAAGCCATGTTCCCGTATAATCTGTGGAGGTATGCATAAATGCATATGTGTGCACACACACACACTCATCTACTCAATCCTCATGTCCTTACAATTTTAGGATAATTTCAGGATGGCCTTCAATTTCTTGATTATTTTCAAGTCCAATCCATGTGAGAGAAACTAAAAATTTTAATCATTTCTTTCAACGATTATTGCCTTTGATCACCTCCACCACCATCACCATCATTTGAATGACCAATAGCATGACTCTTTATTCTGTCATCAAATTATTTTAGCAAAACCTAATCCAATTGGCATTAAAGTATCCTGCCTACACCAGAAATGCAACGTGGCTTCTGGTGATAATTGAGAACATCTCACAATTAAGCAGTTTGATTTAAAAGTAAATTCTTGCTTATGCAACCTCACCTGAACCCTCAAGGATGCAATTCTAATCTCATATTCACCGCCAAGAATTTTGAAAATGCTCTCCACACTCTTCACATCTCCAACCTATTCTCCTTTGTCTTCGCCTCCTACCACACACATAAAACATAAGATAGTTGGGGAGATAATCAATGAAGTATCAATGTGTCACTATCATCTCCATAATATTATCAGCCCCATATAGTTTTTCTTATATCTCTATCCTATTTTTTTATGTTATTAAAATTGTTATTAAAATATCTCAGCCAATTTCTTATTTTTACAATAACATACATTTCCCTTTTCTGTCACTTTAATGTCTCCCTCTCTATCCACCTCTTCCTATTAGAATTTACATATTCTTGTCTATTCCATTATTTAAAAAATGGAAGTCATTCTCATAGAAATAGCAAATAGAACAGTGGTTAGCAGAGACTGGGAAAGGTAGGGGAAATAAGGGGATGTTGAAAGATTGGTCAACAGCGACAAAACTATGGTTAGATAGAAGAAATAAGTTCTGGTGTTCCATTGCATAGTAGGATGACTAGAGGTAACAATAATGTATATTTCAAAATAGCTAGAAGAGAGGTTTTAAAATTTCCTTATTGTTGATAAATATTTAAATGAATGAATATGCTAATTACCCTGATTTGATCTCTATATTATTTATTCATGTATCAAAACATCACCTATACCTCATAAATATGTACAATTATGTGTCATTTATAAACTTCAAAAACATTAAAAAATGAATAAAATGGGGGAAAATAAAACAACTATAGTAACCACAAAAATAGTCATTCTTGTCATCTCTTTCATTCTCATTCAATAATACCTTTGTCAGAAAACATTGCTAACATCCAACTTGTTGATCAACACTTTCTCTCTCACATCTAAACAATTGCAGCCCATTCTTTTTTTTTTTTTTTTTTTTTTCTTGAGACGGAGTTTCACTCTTGTTGCCCAGGCTGGAGTGCAATGGCACGATCTCGGCTCACTGCAACCTCCGCCTCCCAGGTTCAAGCAATTCTCCTGCCGCAGCCTCCCAAGTAGCTGGGATTACAGGCATGCACCACCTCCCCTGGCTAATTTTGTATTTTTAGTAGAGACAGGGTTTCTCCATGTTGAGGCTGGTCTCGAACTCCTGGACCCCAGGTGATCCGCCTGCCTCAGCCTCCCAAAGTGCTCCAAAGCGCTGGGATTACAGGCATGAGCCACCGCGCATGGCCGCAGCCCATTCTTTATTCTTTCTTTTTTTTTTTTTGAGACGGAGTCTCGCGTGCATTGGCGCAATCTCGGCTCACTGCAAGCTCTGCCTCCGGGGTTCACGCCATTCTCCTGCCTCAGCCTTCGGAGTAGCTGGGACTACAGGCACCCGCCACCGCGCCTGGCTAATTTTTTGTATTTTTAGTAGAGACGGGGTTTCACCGTGGTCTCGATCTCCTGACCTCGTGATCGGTCCGCCTCGGCCTCCCAAAGTGCTGGGATTACAGGCGTGAGCCACCGCGCCCGGCCCCCCATTCTTTATTCTAATTTTTGACTATGCTTAATTCTCTCAATTCCCATAACAACATGAAAGTCCGTCTTCCATCACATCTTATCTAAACTTTTGTAATTGCTTCTTCTATCCATTCTTAGCTACCAGATTCATTTTTGAATATACATTTAGATTATCTGAATGAAAATGCTAATAAGATCATATCGGTTTCAACTTAATAGCCTTATGTCATCTCATGATGTTCACAAGGAAAAAACAATTCTGAAAAATTTCAGTTGAAAGCTTTAAAATATTTTACCTTTCAAATAAATCTCATGCAACTTTCTCTGTGTCTCTGTCTCTTTCCCTCTATGTGTGTGTGTGTGTCTGTCTCTCTCATTCTCTACTGGCCTGTTTCATTGGATTGCATTCAATTCTGCACATTCCAGTGTCTGTGAATCTCTCATTTTCCCCCACAATCAGGAACTTGCAAAGGTGTTTCAGTGGGTCCAAGTTTCTAATGGTGATAATTAAAACTATTTTAATTTCTAGTTTTAATAATTAAATACTGTACATACTTCCACTTAAAAATACAACGGTATGACATCTGTAATTTTTAAGTGGGCTCATTTAAGGGGTTACTGACTTGAAATGAACTTGCTAATGACTCAGCCAACAATGTATCTGAATTGTTTCATTACCTGTGTCAGTTTTATTTTTATTTTATTTTTAGTTTTTTATTTTTTTATTTTTGAGACAGAGTCTCTCTCTGTTGCCCAGGCTGGAGTACAGTGGCGTGATCTTGGCTCACTACAAGCTCCGCCTCCCGGGTTCATGCTATTCTCCTGCCTCAGCCTCCCTCCCGAGTAGCTGGGACTACAGACACCGGTGACCACACCCGGCTAATTTTTTATATTTTTAGTAGAGACGGGGTTTCACCGTGTTAGCCAGGATGGTCTCGATCTCCTGACCTTGTGATCTGCCTGCCTCGGCCTCCCAAAGTGCTGGGATTACAAGCGTGAGCCACCGCGCCCTGTCCTGTGTCAGTTTTTACCATATTGGTTAGCTTTATTGCTTTCATTTTAATTTGTTTAATTTATTTCCAGAATAAATACTAGATTGAAGATAGAAAGCATAAGCATTGTTGACGCTGAATTACAAGTTAATAATAATTCTGCAAATAAACAACAAGGTGACTTTCATTGTACTACATATTGTATTTATATTATTAAAATCATTTACAACACGTCAACATATCGTCTTTGTCAACTTTGAAACCAGTTCCAGTGCTAATAAAAGAGAAAATGTAAGACTGGTTACATTTGAAATTGCCTTTTTATATTTCTTGAGAATAAAATATATGCAACCGTAACGTGTTAATGTGCTATTATTTTTTTTGCTTTTAAGTAGAAATCTAACACCCTCTCTACTATCTCATTAGTTAGAAGCAAAACATAAACATTATTAAAACACTCATTTATTTTAGAAAAAAATTCAAGAAACCTAAACAATAGCTTATGAAAGCAATATATTTATATTACATGGTGTAAGATATAATTCTATTTCAACCTATATTCGGTATACACTCAGTCCTCCAGATCCCCAAATTCATCTATATACAATACATTGTTTATTACTGTATTATTCCTACATTTTTCTGAGATAATTAAAGTCAACAATATACTTTTTTAAAATGGCTCAAATGCTCAAAATTGCCTCTCCAAAATACATATAAATAGATTGTGTTCATATTGCTGTAAAATATTTTCTTAAAACCTTTAATTTTTTAAATTTCCCTATAATTTGTAATATAGCACATAAAAATGAAAAAAATTCTTAAATTCCTAAGAGGATTTATATAATCATATGGTATTGTTAAGTCCCCCAACCCTGCCAGGCACGGTGACTCACGCATGTAATCCCAGCACTTTGGGAGGCCGAGGCGGGCAGATCATGAGGTCAGGAGATTGAGGCCATCCTGGCTAACACAGTGAAACCCCGTCTCTACTAAAAATAAAAAAAAATTAGCCAGGCGTGGTAGTGGGCGCCTGTAGTCCCAGCTATTTGGGAGAGAGGCTGAGGCAGTAGAATTGCTTGAACTTGGGAGGCGGAAGTTGCAGTGAAAGTACAGAGATTGCACCACTGTACTCCAGCCTGGGCGACAGAGCGAGACTACCTCTCAAAAAAAAAAAAAAAAAAAAAAAAAAAAAGAAGTCTCCCACCCAAAATAAGAAATACTGAATTGCTCCAAGGAACCATATTCTGTTTTTTCATCTTTCATGTCTTAGAGCTTTCAGTGATGATGTTCGCTCAGCCTTGAACACTCTCCGCTTCCTCCTTTCAGACTTCACCCACGTGATATCTAGTTATTTAATCTAACTGTGAATATCGTCACTTCGTTCAAGCTTTTCCCATTTCACCCTCCTGTCTGGGTTAAGCCAGGATGTATTTGCCCCTACAGCATTTTGAACATCTCTTTTAAAATACACATGAAATTATTAGTTATTCATCTTGTTTTCTGAAAGAACATAGACACCGAAAGTTGAAAGAATTTGCCTGCTTTTTTCCTACTATGTTTACACATCACGCAGCCGAAGTTATCATGTGAATGAATAAATGGGCTCCTAATTTGTCTTCCTGACTTTCAGTTTGTCCCCCTCAATTTTTTTCTTTAGTGACCATTAAAGCCATCTACCAAAAATGCTAATCACACAGTTGGTGGCTGCAGCTCACCTAGAGCTCAAGTTCCCCTTTTATTTGCTTACAAATCATTAGAGATTTAATTACAGGAGCAGATTCTTAATTCATACTCCCAAAAGTTCTAACTCTATGGGTGAGCATGGGGTCTAATTCTGACGCCATTTTGAGAAACGCTGATTTACAGAATAGAAGCTCAGTGCTTCTGTATGCTATTTAATGCCCACTGCTTTCACCTGTCGCTCCATTTGCTTTTCATGTGCCTTTCTACACAACTCTTCGTAGTTCTCCATAAATACCATGCGTCCTCAGGGTTCACTGTTCATGCTTTTCCCCTCTCTAAAACAATTTACTTCAGACCTGAGAACAAATATAAGCAAAGTGTGCCACATTTCCAAACGTATTTCCACATTTAGAAAGATTCCGCATACAAGAAAAGCCAAGACTGAATGCTTTGCAAACACTGTATTTTCACAAGAGTATTGTATCTGCCTGTGATATCAGACCACATTAGCACTTGTTCAAGTAGTATATTTATACTCATAATCTGAGTTTTAGAATAGATTCCACTCTCCAGAATGAAGCTCCTGACATGCCGAGCTATTTTGGTACACCTCTGTACATACTCCATTGTGTAGGCAATATTTGCTTATATGTGGCTCTCCCAAGTGAAGTACATGTCCCTCTCACTCAGAAACTGTGCTTTATTCATCCATACATTCCTAACATCAACCACAGTACTCAACTTGTCCTGAGATTCTAATAAATTACAGTTAAACTAAATTATCTGCTACTGTTTATTATTTTCTCTTTAATAGGACTGAAATAAGCAATGTCCATAGAGTATCTAATTAATTTCTTCCAACCATCCAGATATTCTCATGTAACAGATGGAGAAATTAAGGTTCAGAGATATTTAAATTACCTCAGATTATTAGTTTCAGAATTTGAGTTCCAATCCAGGACTGTCTGGCCATAAAGTCTAAATGTAAGTGATAATAGAAAATTACTAATCCTGTACCTAATGTACCACTTAATCAATATGTCCTGTGTTGCATGGCCACTTAAAAGAGTTTGTATTTCTATCAAATAATCTAATTTCTATCAGAGATGTTCCTACTTTATGTTGAAGTGTTACATACTGTTAGTATGATGATTTACTTTATTGTCACCCTTTGTCCTGAGTATGAAACCTAAGGACTTCCTTATGTCATACTTTCTACAGGTATTTGGGATACTATAGGTTTTCATAATAAAATAAAAGGCATCATAGCCATTATTATTTTGCATATCAGAAGAATCACACATATGTGTAGTAGATATGATTAGAATACAGATTAACTTTTTGGAGTTGAAATTAATATTCAAAACAAAATAAATAAGGTCCAATATAGGCCTAAAGCACTTAACAATGTTTCTTATGGTGTTGAATGTTATACGCAAATAGGCTTCTACATTTGATGTGTTTAAGAAACTGCATTAAATGACATTATTCTATATGCATAAATATTAGGATAATTATGACTTCACATTTATATATTCTCTGATGTATATGTTTAACTTGCAGTACTTTTCAAATCATTACAAGAAATCAGGTAACATTTTGAAATGTCCAGTAGAGACCTCTTTGTCATAAAAGTATCATGGTGTTTTATGTGAACAAGGAGTTTTATAATTGGTAAAAATTAGGTTTAAAACCAAGCTTCCAGCCTTTATTATTTGAGAATGCTTGGCTATCCAATCCATATTCTCTGAGTCTAAGTTTCTCCATTTTAAAAATTAAGATAAGAGATAATAAGAAAACCTAATATTAATCATTATCCATTGAGAAATTGTCATGTATCCAACTGAGTACTAAGGACTTTATTTGTTCTTGGGTCTGTTTTAAAGCTATGTGGTCCTGCTTGTAGCCCTAGCTTTGATGCTAAGAGCAGGGACTCTCGATTCAGAATTCCTAAGATTAATATTTTCCATGTCTTCTGGTACGAAGTGCTCTTAGCTGTGAACTTGGGCACTTTACATTCCATATCTTAGTATTTTCATCTTCAAAATGGGAGATAAAATAATAGCATCTACCTCATGGTAATGTGGTGAAGATAAAATGAGCTAATATAAACATATATGTAAATCAGTGCCAACAGGCCCCCCAAATAGTAAACGTCAGCAGTTTTTATGATTACAAAATATAGAGCATGTAAAAGTTGGTGCTTTTCTATTGGAAAAAAAAGGAAGTAATCTTTTTTTTATTTTATCTATTTTATTTTTTCAAGATGGCGTTTTGCTCTTGTTGCCCAGGCTGGAGTGCAATGGTGAGGTCTTGGCTCACTGCAACCTCTGCCTCCCGAGTTCAAGCGATTCTCCTGCCTCAGCCTCCTGAGTAACAGGGATTACAGGCATGTGCCACCTCACCCGGCTAATTTTGTATTTTTAGTAGAGATGGGGTTTCTTCATATTGGTCAGGCTGGTCTCGAACTCCCGATCTCAGGTGATCCACCCGCCTCCCAAAGTGCTGGGATTATAGGCCTAAGCCACCACACCCAGCCAGAAGTGACTTTAAGGAAGCAAATACTGCAGACAATTCTCCATGAATCTTGCCTTTCTCCCTATTCTACAAGCAAAGTCTCTGGCTGGCTTTATTCTTAGCTGCCTTTTAAGGATTTTGTATAGCAAATAGTCTTATAATAGAGATAGTCTCTCCCTCTGGGACAAAAATTCAAGTTTACTGTTTAATAAAGGTCATGTTTTCCTCCAGGTTAGGTAGGATCATGGATCACCATAAAAATTTTGGATTTCCTGTGCTTGGAGTTCCTCCCCTGGAATGCAACTCGCAGCTTTGGAGCTTAGGGAATTGGCACCCATGTTAACTTTCTGGCTACTGCTATTTCTGTGTGTAATTAACTGTCCTTTGTCTCTGATCCAGGAGTCTCATGCTTTCTGCCAGCATCCATGGAGCTATAATAGGCTAACTTGTTAACTTTCAAGCAGATAAAGTCTCAGATCCTTCACAGTTCTTGACAGTTTTGACAATGTAATTGATAGAAACATACATTTCTGGAAGAGGAACAATAAAGGTGTTGGGGCCAATTAACAGGATTTGAGAAAAGTCCAAGAGAATATATGTCAACTAAATTGTACAGTTAATTGCTGCACAATAGATGGTCTTTCATTCATGCCTGTTCAGGAGGAAGAATCAAGGAGGTGATTGCAGGCTGTAACCAAGAAGTGGGTTTCAAAGGCAGCTGTTGGAATGGGCCCTGGTTATTGTTAATGCTCCTCTGGATGTAGAAATGTCCTAGTCAATGTTGTGGTCAGCCTCAGGTACAAAGCACTACAAACATTATCACTAAGGTGTTTTTTGTTTTTTTGTTTTTTTTTTTGTTTTTCCCCTGACAGGCATTATTTTATTTTCTCTTTCAGTCAACACTTGAGTATGTAAAGAGAGAAATGTGTGACTTCTATGGTCATAAATCAGAATAATTCATTACACATATGGTTGTTTCAATTAGGAGATGAGAGGTAGGATGTATTATTTTTGTTAAGAAAAAAGTAGCAATAGCTGGGTTGTCTGAAGGCTTAGCTCTTTCTGCAGTATATCATGACAACCTCCGATATAGTTAAACATTGCAGTAAAGAGTCTTGGAGATTTTTGCGGCAGACCCTGATTATTATAGGGGAGATTTGGTCTTTTGGGGGTGATTTCTCTGAGAAAAAGCACTCTTGTGGGAAATCATAGAAGAGAAATTGATATGCATTTAGGCCTTCACTGTCCCTGACTAGGTTTACAATGCTAATGCAGGTGAAACACCGGAAAATGAGAATCTAAACTGTCTTAGTCTGCTCAGGCTACCATAACAAAATGCTGCAGACTGAGAGGCTTAAACACAGAAATTTATTTTTTCACAGTTCTGGAGACTAGACATTCCATATCTACCAACCAACTTCCTGGTGAGGACTCTCTTCCTGACTTGTAGACAGCCACCTTCTCACTGTATCTTCACATGACCCTTCCTTGGTGCATAGGAGCAGAGAGAGAGAGACAACACACTTTCTGGGGTCTCTTCTTTTAAAAACACTAATTCTGTGGAATCAGAGCCCTACCCTTATGAGTTCATTTGTACTTAATTACTTCCTTAGGTGCTCCATCTCCAAATATAGCAGTGCTATGGGTTAGGCCTTCAACATATGAATTTTGGAGAGACACAAACTTTCATTACATTACATTATATTACATTGACCCAAAGAATTCCAAGTAAATTTTAGTGGTGAGACCTACAGCCTTGAAAGAAATCTCCTTGCCATTATATTGAAACCATTCAAACATTTTAGAGATGTTACCATGAAAATGAGGCAGTAGATGCCCCAGATTATGATGGATTCCTTAATCTACTGTGGAAAACCACTGCTGTACAAGTCAAGCCTAAGGCAGTCAAAAGTTTGTTTGAAGCCCAGCAGACCCCTTACCACTTGAAAGCAAAAGTGAATGGTTTTTGCTTAATGATGAGGAGTCACTCTCTCCCTCCAACCACCATGATCCTTTTATCCCATTCTAACCTGAATGCAGCTATTATGAGAATAAATATGGTTAGGGGTGGGATTGAGGACCCCCTGTCCATAAGGGTAATAAAAGCAATACAATCTGTCTGAGTATTTTGGGGAACTTCAAGAAGGAGAGAAACACTAACTTTCATAGTTCTGTTGGTTGCAGGCAGCCAAGTCACCGTCCTATCTGGCAGGATATGGAGGTACCCAAATTCAACAGATGGAGTTTGGATAAAGTTTACAGTGGGGGAGGGAAACTCAGATAACCTTATCAGTGGGGATTTTTCTGACTAATTAATGTACTGTTGTTTTGGCTTTCATGGCTGAATATATAATTGGTATTGTACATGTGTATACTGTAAATATTCATCTTCCAGAGGGAGTTATCACAATCAGGAAGAAACTTACGGAGAAATGTGTTAATGAGAGAATATATATTTGAAGTATTCCCTGAACACCTGAGTCATTTTCTAATAGTGAGTAAGTCGAATTAAGTGTTACTGCCCCAAAGCCAGGCCTGGTGGCTCACGCCTGTAATTCCAGCACTTTGGGAGGCCAAGGCGGGTGCAAGGTCAAGAGATCAAGAAGATCCTGGCTCACACGGTGAAACCCTGTCTCTACAAAAAATACAAAAAATTAGACAGGTGTGGTGGCGGGTCCCTGTAGCAGTTCCAGTTACTCAGGAGGCTGAGGCAGGAGAATGGTGTGAATCCGGGAGGCGGACGTTGCAGTGAGCCAAGATCGCGCCACTGCACTCCAGCCCAGGCGACAGAGCGAGACTCCATCTCAAAACAAAACAAAACAAAAAACAAAAGAAGTGTTACTGCCCCAAATCACATGAATTTGCTTACTCAGGACAACTTCCCAGCGGGATAACTGACTCATTGTTTGTGTACATGCTATGGGCAATTTTCCCTTTAAGGGAATTCTCTAATTAGGAATGGTTATAAGAAATATATTCCTGACTCTAGCTAAAACATACTACCTTGGCCCTGGAAGACACTACCTTGACCCTGTAAAGTATTCAGTTCATCTGCAACTCACTGACCGGTGTTGCTATGGATGATAAAATTGTCCTTGCTATGCAAGGTAGAGTCTGTGAAATCATGAATTCACTCTGACTTACCTGGATTCATTTTCAGGTCAAGTGAAAATGTCAATATAAAAAATTAAGGAGGAAGCCATCTGATTTGTTAAGGTAGAACTTCATGATTTGTGAAATTTGTTTAGTTGGTTTATTTGGAGTCTTGTTTGAGGTCCTAAATGGGACATGTTTGAGGTCAGTGCTGAAGATTGGACTCATCTTGATCTTTGCTGTGTTATTGGTTGCAAATTTAATTAAAGACCTTATAGGACAAATGGAATGGCTTTGATTCCAGACTCAGTCAGTAAGATTAATTCCAAAGGCCAATGTAATTATGGGAAAATTTACTAGAAACCTAGACTGTAGAAACAAAGGGTGGATATGATTGGACAGTCATTCTCAAGAGGTCTCATATTTTCACATACTTTTAAGTAGAAGCATTGACTCTGTTCAGCACTAGCTTTTCAAGAATGGCTGTGTAGGAAACTGCCTTGGAAAATAAAGATAGTATCTCCCTACAGAGAAAATGAAGTTTGCTTACAGTCCAGTATAATAAAGATAATATCTCTCCATAAGGCAAGCGTCAGGCCAACTTAGTGTCTAGCAAAAGAGATATAGTTCGCTAAATAAAGTGCTTTCTTTTCCTCCAGTAATGCAATCCAATACATGTGCAGATATCACATGGTCTTTATGTCACCCTATAGAAATTGAGGGTCAAAAAACCAACACAAATGTTGATACTCTGGCTACTGCTATTCCTGTAATAAAGTGTCCTTTGTCTTTCACGCAGGAGTATTGTGTCTCCTTCTAGCCCCCATGTAACTAGGGAAGAATAACTTGTTAGTTTGCAAGTAGGGGAAAATCTCAGTCTTAACTTTTCTTGACACCAAATACAATATCTAAAAGATAACATCGAAAAGCTGAAATTCCTCTTTCATTACATAATATAACATAATGATTCTCAACATGGAATTTAAATGTAGACTGACTTTGTGATATGGAGCAAGCCTCACCTCCCTTCGTGGTCTTAGGTTTTGTGGTAGGCAGGAATTTAAAATGTCCCCCAAGATTTCTGCCCTTAGTATACATGCCCTGTTTAATATCTTCCAAGCTATGTGTGGAAGAGACTTGTGAATAGCATGGGATTTTATTTCCATGATTAAGTCAGTAATTGGTTGCCTTTAAGTTAATCAAAAAGGAGATCATCCTGGGTGAATCTAAGCTAATCAGGTCAGCCATTTTAAAGACAGTCTACAGGTTAAAAAAAAAAAGTCTTTCAGATTGATTTGAAGCATTAGCAGGTATTTTTCTTTGAGGCCAGTAGATGTGAAGCAAACAGCCACATTGCAAGCTGTCTATGGAGAGGGGCAGCCGCTAGAAGTTGAGGACCTCAGCCTTATAAAGAGAATTCTTACAAAGAAGAGAATTGCCAAAACCTACATAAGTTTAGAAACAAACCCTGGGCTCCAAATGAGAACCATCACATGGCTGGCAATTTGATTTTAGCTGTGTGGTCTCCTGAGCAGTGAATCCAGCCATGTCATGCCCCGACTCCTGGCCTTCAGAAACTACGAGGTAATACTTTGTAATTTTAAGCTGCTTAATTTTTAGCTGTTTCTTGCATAGCGCAGAAAATAAATGTGATTTTCTTATATCCTAAAAATGTGGTTAAAAGCATCATTTGCCTCATAGCTTCCCTGGGAGGATTAAAGGAGTAAATATACATTAAAATGGTTTCAGAAGTGCCTGGCCCATAGTAAGAGCTATGTAAGGGCTCAGTCTTACGATTATATATGATTGCTTTAAGCTTGCTAACTTTTGCTTTTATTGCCTAATAATTCTAATTGGGGGTGCCAAGATACACCAGTTTTTCACTTACATAAGAAAATAATCATAACTTCACTAAGTCACTTATAATACACTGTGAAGACGTTTGGCTACATGGAAAATGTTAAGTGGAAAAACTATTTTTGCTTCTTGCAAGCTTCCTGGAAGCCTCCAAAGCAAGCACATGCTGAACATGGCTCATTGCAAACTGTGAAGGAGGCAAAGCTGCTCCTTTAGTTTCCAGACCTCCGCATTTGCCTCACCACCTTTTGAAGCTTTTTATATAGATATATTCCCACGCATATGCATAATTTTAAATACATGCATAAATGTAATAAAAATATAGGTATTTCATTTCAATCTAATTTCACTCTTTTAGTTGTGGGGTTGGCCTTTCTCTTCTTATCACTTTGCCACCTCTCCTAAGTGACTTCACCCTTCCCAACATCATACGTTTACCCAAAACCACAAAACACCGAATATGCATCCTGCTACACACACACACACACACACACACACACACACGCAGACACACACACACATACACAGATAGGTTGTCCAGACATGGTTTGAAAATGTATTCATATTGTCCATATATTGTATTAAATATGCAATTTTATTTATGTGCATGTATAAATATATATTTATGCATATACATAAACGTGTTTATTTCATATTTTACTTTCCTCACTAAACAATTACCTCATGAAAATACCTTCCTGCCAACTTTATGTCTTTACTCTCTTCCCCATTTTTAATGTTCATCTCCCCCCGCACAAAACAAATCCCACCCTACTTGTCAACGGTCTCTTAGTCCATGAGCAGAGTGGTGTGGGCTGCATTGTGGCAGGTGGGAGGAAATAGGGAGGTGAATGGGAGGTTTGCATGGAGCTGTGTGGGCTATGCTGACATCATGCTGAGGGATGTCACTGTTAGACAAGTAGCCATCTTCAGAACCTCACAAGGGTGTTTTCAATTCAGGAGCATATATGCTCTGCAGGTCTTCTTTAGATAGCATTTGTGGAAGTGATGAAGTGCATGGTCCACATCAGCCATATGACAACCCTGAATCTCTTGACCTGACCAGCCAGTGACTCTGATTTCTGGATTCAGCCACTTCTTGGACTTGAGACATGGTTTTCTTATTGAATCAGCTGTAATGAAAATCCAAGTCGGGCCAGGCGCGGTGGCCTACACCTGTAATCCCAGCACTTTGGGAGGCCTAGGCGGACAGATCACGAGGTCAGGAGATCGAGACCAGCCTGGCCAACATGGTGAAACCCAACCCCATCTCTACTAAAAATACAGAAATTAGACAGGCGTGGTGGTGGGCACCTGTAATCCCAGCTACTTGGGCGGCTGAGGGAGGAGAATTGCTTGAACATGAGAGGTGGAGGTTGCAGTGAGCCGAGATCATGCCACTGAACTCCAGCCTGGGTGACAGAGCAAGAGTTCGTCTCAAAAAAAAGAAAAGAAAACCTAAGTCAGAGCTTTGTTTGCAACCAGGTAAAAGAGCTACAATAAAGCAGATGTTAGTGAGTTGCTGATGAAAGAGATCAGCTTTCTACTCCTATTTCAAATTTTCAGCAAAAAATCATATAAGATTATAAGAAAATGACTAATAATTGTTTTCCACATGGCCTAAGAAAATAAGGTATTATTTAGGATTGAATATAGATCATCATTTCAGAGTAAGAGTGGAAAACTGTTATGGATTGAATTGTGTCCCCCAGTGTATAGGCTAAAGTCCTTACCCCCAGTACTTCAGAATGGGACCTTATTTGGACACAGGGTTTTTACAAAGGTAATTATGTTGAGATCATTAGCATAGGCCCTAATCCTGTATGACCTGTGTTCTTATAAAAAGGAGGACTTTGGAGACAGAAATGCACACAGGGAGAACACTATGCAAAAAGACAAAGAGAGAAGAAAGCACCTACCAGCAAGGAAGAGAGGCCAGTACCAAATTCTTCCCTGACAGCCCTCAGAATAAATCAGCCCTGTGGGCACCTTGACATAAGAAAATAAATGTTATAAATGTATGTAGGTTGTGGTACTTTGTTACAGCAACTGTAACAAACAAATACAGCAACTTATGGCCACAAACCAAATGTGGTCTACCACTTGTATTTATAAATAAAGTTTTATTGGAACACAGCCACAGCCATTTGTGTACATATTGCCTACAGCTACTTTTGCACTAAATAACTGAATAGTTTTGAAGTGAGATCATGTGGCCCACAATGCCTAAAATATGTATGATCTGTCCCTTTACAGACAAAGTTTGCCAAGTCTGACACAGGAGTCTCATTGTACATCTTCTCTCTCCCAGATGTCCTAGCCTCCCAGGTCAGTCACCCCCAGCTAGACTCATACCCTCACATCTGCTTGGGTAAGACTCAGTTTCTCCACAGGTTCTTCTCTATAAACCTTCCAAGATACTTTTTGGATCCCAGTACTTACCATTTAGAACAACTTTCCAGAATGTCAGACTTCTTTGATGTACAAATGGTGACTGTGTGTTTTTTTTTTAAGCCACTGAGGATTTGTAGTGAGCATTCCTTTATCTCTTGCACAGATGACCAGCTGCCCATATCCTCTATCGCTTTCTCAAATACTAATGAATGCATATGATGGGCCACACAATATTTTACACTTTACATTTATTAGAGAACTTATTTTTCACACAAATATATGAGATAGGTACTAGCATTAGCACCAAATTACATATAATAAATCTGAGGAACAGTGAATTTGCTTTTAGCTAACATAGACAATGCCACACTGTGTGAGGAAACCCAGCTACAATCTCAGGCAGTATGCCCATGAAGTGATACTCTTACTTATTTGCTATAGTTCTGTCTTTTTTTCCCTCCTACATTACACAAAATGCAGGGTCTGGAAGTGCAATAGTTATACTACTTACTCATTGCTACCAGGAGACTCTTTTTCTTTTTTTATCCCTCAAAAATGATACCTGCTATGATTTACGTACAAGCAGATATACCACTGGTACTCCTTTTACCACTGGTAGAGACAAGAAATTTCTTGTCTGATTTCCTTGTCTCTACCCTGCATATATCTATACTCTATACTCATTTGTCCTTGTGTCTCTGTGTCATACTTCCCTGGTCAAAAATCTAAGCTTATTAAGAACAACTCCAGTGCATTCTGTGCCTGCATTTGATTACTGCATCCTCACTCCTGGGTGGCCCAGAAAGAAAACATTGAAAGAAAATACTCTTCAGTGATCAGAACATCAGGTGATACAAATAATTGTCCACTTGGTGTACAAAGTGAATAGCCTGATATGTGGATCTATACCGATCCATTACTCATAGCTAAATAGTTGGTCAACTGGTCAGATATTTAAAAGACTATCACTAGAAAATAGATGGCCAAGAGGTCTACAGGAGAGGTAGGAATTATCCCATAGATATCCTGCTGTTCTTTTCTCAACCAATGTGGTGATTGCTCAAAGGGCCCATGCTCCCAAAGTGCTTTTGTTATAGGAGTTATTAAGAAATTATTTTAGGCAGACAGGAAAAGGGGTCATTGGGAAGTTTTTGTTTCTTTTAAAGCAGTTACAGAAACGTTTATTGTCTAGCAGGATAGCCCTGGCTTTTAGAGCCTGGCAGGCAAGCTTTGATGTGGAAATGCAGTCCATTAGGAACTGGGTTCACCCAAACATGGAGATTCCCACCGTGTTCTTCTTGTCCTTGCCTCAACATGTGCCTGGCAACATGGCCGCCCCCACATATCCCCACTTGTGTAGAACATCATGGTGCCCTGCTTTTGCATATTAAAAAGCTAGGGTGGGAGGGCCAGTTTTTTCATTGGCTACATGAGTAACATGCCTGGTCAAACCAATCACCTGAGCCCTTTGCAAATCAGACACCACCTACACCGGGGACAGCCACTTTTCCACTGCACACGGGGTTTTTTCTTTGTTCTAATCCCCCCTCCCTCTGTCTTTGTGCGGGGGAGCTGTTTTCTTCTTCCTTCTTTCTTGCCTATTCAACTTTTCGCTCCTTAAAACCACTCCATGTGTGTCCATGTCATTAATCCTATCGGCGCAAGTCCGAGAACCGTGGTGTTCCCCCAGTCATCAGAGCTGTATCAGTTTGGTTTGCAGAGATAAGAGCTATAAATTCCCTTTTTTTCTCATTTAAATGCATCTAACTATGTGCTGGGTAATCAACCTACCAACAGCAGAAATCAAAGGTAAGCTTCAGATATGGATCTAGCATATAACTGCTAAGGCAGGGGTCTACAACCTTTCTCTGCAAATAGCTAGATAGTAAATATCTTAGGCTTTGTGGGCCATATTGTCTCTATGCAGCTACTGAACTCTGACTGCCATTATAACCCAAAAGCAGCCATAGGCAGTAAATATATCGAGTGTAGTTGTAATTCAATTACATTTTGTTAAAAACAGAGACAAGACTTTACCCAAGAGCTTTAGCTTGCAAACCCTGTCCTGAGGTTATCACTCAGCAACCTGGTGACAATATAATTGATTACATTATGCTTTCCCACCATGAATGAAGCAGTTGTTTCTTTTAAAAGAGCGGACTACTGAGTCTGGTATGGATTTTTCTCTCCTCCATGCAGTGCTTCTGCCAGGCCTACAATTTGTGCATTTATGCTTCCATTTGTGGCATCACCACGGTATTTCACTCAGTATCACCTTTAACAATTGCCAATTTAGAGGGAAGACAGTGGGACAATGGCATAATGCCCACAGCATTTCCCAGTGATATCACATACCCCATCACCCAGAAGCAGCTGCCTTGATGGAATTGGAAAGGCAATTTCAGCTCTAAATCACCACAAATCTTCAGTGGCTTAAAGACAATCATTATGTCTACATCAGCATCTGGCTGGCTATCTGTGGATCTGCAGATCGTTCCTGGGCTTGGTTGGGCTTAGTTGAGCTGTAGTGTAGGATTGTTCCTCACATATCTCATGTATAGGTGGAGGCTGAAGTCATGCCAATTATTTTATATCAGGAATGTAAGAGATTGAAAGGACACACACAATGTCTCTTAAAGTATTGTTCTTCACAGAATTGGCATAGTCACTTCTGTTTATATTCTATCCATTAAAGCAAATCAGAGGGTTAAGCCTAAAGTCAGACTGGTGGAAAAGCATATGAAGCTGGATAGGGAGAAAAGGATAGGAGAAAAGAAAATTAAACATTTGCTGAAATAATTTAATCTACCAGGGATGAGCTGAAAGCTTAGTTACAGTACTCTCTGAGGCCTGTTGACCAGTACGTTGAGTCCTCACTTATATGAAATATGTTGTAACCCAGTATCCAGTAGACAGTGCCATCTTGCCTTAGCAAGAATGAATGTATCATGGAACTAATGTATCGTGGAACTAAGTGGTAGAGTCAGGAGTGACTGCTTTCTCCATGTCACCAGAGAACACAGTTTAAGAATTTTTAGCCTCGGAATTAATCATCTGAACCCTAGTGCCAAACAAGGACTATTTCCACCAGGGTATCCAGTCAGGGCTCCAATTAATTGGCAGCAGAGACTATCCCCTGGGTATTTTGGGCTCTTTGTAACCCTAAAGCAACAGACAAAAAAAAAAAAGAGTATCACTCTATGACCTAGTGAGCTTGATCCCAATTATCCAGGAGACACAGAGTTACTGATGTATGCTGAGGATAAAGAGGAGAATCTGGAACAAGAAATTTAATGAGGTGTTCTTAGTACTCCAATTGCACAATAGTCCTGGTCAATTGAAATTGTAGCAACTCATTCCAGAGAAGACAATCAAATAGTAGGTAACTGCAGTAATGAAGGTTGGCACACTCCAGGCAGTCATGATACCGATCAAAGATAAGGGAATATGGAATGAATGGGTGGTAGAAGAGGCAGCTATGATTATCACCTTATGCATTAGGAAATTGACTGTAGTAGCTTTGTTTAAGCTGTTATTACTAGTACCTGTGATGGCTAGCATTTTAGGTTTCCATTATTGTTTGGGAAGATGATGGACTGTACCTATGCCCGATGTTTGGTAATCAAATTGTTATAAAATATCCTATCAGCTAAAAAACATTTGTAAATGCATATATTTGCCTTATGGATAAGTACATTTATTTCATGTTTTAAAAGTTAATACAGGTCAGTTCTCTGGGTAGCCTTGGAAAAACCCAGTTATCCCCACTCCAAGTTCTTAGCTTGTAGTTCTCAGGAATAACCGTAGAATGTGCTGGGATGCAGTATGCTAAGACAGCAAGGAAATGCCTGAAATGGCCTGGGTCTTGTTCCTGTTCCACCTAAAAAATGTAACATCTTGCGATACAGAGGAAATGCCCAGGACAGCCCCAGCTTTGTTCCTCTCTCACCCCAGCTTTGTTCCTCTCTCACCTGGAAACAGGATTCCTTTAAAGCTTTGCCCAGTCAGTCACGTTGCCCATGAGGTATATGACCCAGGGATGCCTTTCAGCGTCCCTCAGCTGTGGTGCAAGTAAGGCACATGCAGTCAATACTCCATCCATCCTGGTCAGTTTCTTGAGCCTTGAGGGACTGGCTCATGATAGATGCTAGGCTTCTTTTGTCTCTTGCTGCCTATCTCTAAATAAGAAACTCATTTCATATAACTTGTAGTATGTGAGTATATTGCTGTATCACTGAACTCAAATATGTAGGTAAATAGTATATTAACCTGCATTACAGTTCAAAATCTATCATTCAAAAAATAAAAATGCACATTTGAAAGATTTCTATTTGTCCCACTTATTTTCAGTATTAGTCCATTTTGCATATTAGCTAGTTATGAATGTCTGTACTCAAATATAGGGAAAAAGTAAATTTTTTTTCTTGATTTCAAGTAACTGAGATTTCAATAAAAGGCTTTTTTCATGTCTTCTTTTTTTCCACATTTTGATTCTGTGATTCTATTCTTATGTAATAGATTAAGTGCTGAGCTAGCAGTTGGGGAATGTGGAGTTTATTGCTGTCTCCATCCTTTATTAATTTTGTGATTTTATGCAGGACACTTAATTGCACTAGAAATGTATTTTATAATCTGCAAAATGAAAGAGAACCCATAAATCAACTCCATTGAAATCTTTAAATAATCTCTAATGAATGAGTCCCCTAAATGATATATACATTTATTTTAGCTATAAAATGACACATTATTTGAATAAAGAATAACTATTGGTTTGGTTTACATGTATAATAAAATATTCCTCAAATAAAGATGTTTGACCAATGAAACTTGATTATAGATGCCAATTTCAGAATCTGAAATAAAATATTTTATTATAAAATAATTAGTCATAAACTAAGTCTTTGAGTATATATATGAGTATATATATTTTATATATATTTTATATACTCATATATATGAGTATATATGTATATATATTTATATATAAAAATATATGAGTATATATGTAAAATATATATATTTCATATATATACTTTATATACTTATATATACTCATATATGAGTATATTTTATATATTTTATATACTCATATGTGTTATATATAAATATATATTTATATATAATACATATTTCATATATACTCATATATGCTATATAACATACATATTTATATATATAAAATATATATTTCATATATACTCATATATGCTATATAACATACATATTTATATATAATATATATATTTCATATATATACTTTATATACTTATATATACTCATATATGAGTATATTTTATATATTTTATATACTCATATGTGTTATATATAAATATATATTTATATATAAAATACATATTTCATATAAACTCATATATGCTATCTAACATACATATTTATATATATAAAATGTATATTTCATATATACTCACATATGCTATATAACATACATATTTATATATATAAAATATATATTTCATATATACTCAAAGACTTAGTTTATGACTAATTATTTTATAATAAAATATTTTATTTCAGATTCTGAAATTGGTATCTATAATCAAGTTTCATTGGTCAAACATCTTTATTTGAGGAATATTTTATTATACATGTAAACTAAACCAATAGTTATTCTTTATTCAAATAATGTTATTTTATAACTAAAATAAATATATATGTATATGATTTAGGGGACTCATTCATTAGAGATTAAAGATTTCAATGGAGTTAATTTATGAGTTCTCTTTCATTTTACAGATTCTAAAATACATTTTTAGTGCAATTAAGTATATATATATACTCATATATCTGAAATATGTGTATATATACTCATTCATTAGAGATGTGTATATATATGTATACATATGTATATGTCACTTATCTTTTATATATAATTTATAAATCAATGATTGGCCTTATGTGATTGGATTCCCTTTTAGCTATTTTAGTGTCTATGTTCTTTATAGATAATAATACACATTAATATATAAATTAATATATAATATTACATATTTAATATAAAAATAAATTTTGAAGAACGTAGTCATTAAAGTAGCTAAAAGGGAAACCAATTGCATAAAGCCAACCATTCAGAAATGAACATGCTCTATGTTAGGGTGAACATACTCCTTTAGCTTCTATGGATATGTGATAGGACTTGGAGTGGGATCTTCTCAGTTGCCCTGTGGCTTGTGGCCAAATGAAAATAAAAATAAGAACAACAGGGCATGTGTGACAGCTATTCTCAAGAGCATTGCTGACTATTCCTTTTACTTCCCAGATAAGATACAAGTTAAGCAGATAAAAAAGGTGTCCAAAGCACTAATATCCTTACACCAGGACAAAAGTGACCCCTGTCCAGAAGGCCATGCATTTTAGAGTCTGCTCTGGGTTCCTGGGGATAACTTGTGTACATCCCTCACCCACAACACACACACACACACACACACACACACACACATACACACACGTCTGTGCCTAGATAATATACACTCCATACCAGGATGCTCACATATAGGTAAATACAAATTTAAAATAAAATCCTCCTGTTGAAAATAAGGAGACATTCTCTCCCTTTTCTTGGAGCATTTACTTTAGAAAACTTGTAATTATAAGTTCTTATTCTGAATCTTTGAAATGTATGCAAATTTTTTTTAAGCCAAATAAACCTCTTGCCAGCTTTAAGACCCAGGAATATCTTTCTCAGAGACCTGGGACCATATCTTTGCAATGTAATCATCAAGGAAGATAGTACCCCTGTTAATGGCTGAGGGTGTCCAGGTTTTTGACGTCATGAACAAAGAATTGGACAAAATGCACAAACAAAGCAAGGAAGGAATGAAGGGATTTATTGAAAATGAAAGTACACCCCACAGTATGGGAGCAGGCCTGAGCATAGGGACTCAAAAACTCTGTTACAGAGTTTTTGTGAGTTTAAATACCCTCCATCTGGGGCACACCCTATGTAAATGAAGAGGATGAAGTAAAGTTACAAAGTCATTTACTGTGTACGCCCTATAGAGAGGATATTTCTTGTTATAGCTGAAGTGTGAATCAGCCTTATGTTCTCTGCCTCCAGATCCTATTTTCCTGCCTCATCTACCCCTGAGAGATGTGATCCCCATAAATCTTTATGGGAGGCGGAGAGACTGATTTCTGTAACTGCTTCATGCTGACTTGGGACATAGTCCTACCTATTGGGGACCACAGAACTCTCACCCTGTTCTGTCTAGTGAGGCATGGCCAGGGGTGGTATCTTCACCTGGAACTAGCTGGAACCATTGTTGTGTGATTAGCTGAAGCTTGATGATCTCTAGGTGAGAGGAAATGAACTTGGTCAAAAGATGTAGTGGGAACTTCAGAGGGTTGATACCTATGCTACCAGAAATGTTTGTTGTAAAGATTTGCAGGAGAAAGAACAAAACCTGGTTTGTTCTAGAATCTGTGTTTTCTTACAGTCTTAGCACAAGCGACTCCATTTTGGTTTGGTTTGTTGGCGCCTAGTAAATGAGCTCAGTCCACAACAATGGCCTCCCAGAATTTTGTTTAAAAAAATTCCCCCTTTTTGAACAGGTTCTCACTTAGTTGAGAGTATGAACAAAACTTAGGGCTTTAGCGCCACTCTCAGTTCCACCATTTTGGGTTTCCGGCCTCAGCACATTATTTATAGGTTATGGTGCCCTCATTGCTGCACGTTTCTTTCAGCTCCTGTTATTCCAGTTGAAGAGAGACCATATGACATTCTAGAGATGGCTGCATGCAAGCATTTAAAACCTTTGAGAGAATACAACGCACCAGGGAGACTATTATTATGATTATTGGGAGGATCATACCAAGAATTTGAAGTGTGCCCTTTACCGAAGGTTCCCATAAACCAAACCGCCTGCAATCAAATAGATCAAAGAATGAGCTAGATAAAGAGTTTACTCACTTGGCTAAGCAATTTTTTTGTCAATCCCCTACCACCAAATTTCTATAATCTTTATTTGATATATTTCTCCATAGGCCACAAGTGCCAGCAGCTGCACAGATACTTTTCTGTTTAGCTAATTCTATTATTTAGCATAACTTTCACAAGAGAATGTAAAGTTTGTTGAGTAACTGTAGCGTTTACAGTAGAATTTGCTATAAAACCTATCATGAGGGATACGTTTCTAATCATTGCTTCTTTTACTTTAAATTATGGAAAAAGGACCTAACAAATGATGCCTTTTAGAAGAGTGAAGGCCTTCTGGGAATGTTCTCTTTAACCCATGATGTGGGTTAAGAGGAGTGAACCAATGTTTTGTTTTTGACTGATTATGAGGTAACATATGTACCCTTAAAGTTTCTTACCTACATTGGGCCTTCATCTTTTAACTATCAGAGTATAAGGTAATCCATGTATAAGGCTGCCTGCCAACTCCTTCACAAATAAAAGTACACCCCATTAGTGCACATAACAGACCCCTTTTCCACTTCTCTTGTTCATAGAGGCATAAACAAAAACAAACAAACAAAAAACAACAACAACAAAATTCAAAGGTAAGATTTTCATGACAATATAAGTCTTAATCTGTGACCTTGGGAAAAGCTGTTCCCATCAAGGATGGCATCCTCTTCAAATTTCCCTGGTTAGCTTTCCCTCAAGGGTTCCAATGGGTGCACAGTTCCAAAAATGTGGAGGGACCCTTCTCAGTTTTGAGGCCATGAATCCAAAGCCCAAAGTCTTGCTGTAGTGTGGATGAAGTTTTGTTGTAGTGTGGATAGCAATGACAGTCTTTCTCTAATGTTTCCAGAAGATTTAAACCATAAAAAGCTTTCTTTACCTGTGAAAATACACTGTAGCGTAATAATTTACTGTTATAAAATCAGCCTTCTTGCATGGAAAAGCTTTTATACAACCAGAAAACATTCATTGAAAATAACAATTGAATGAAATCCTTTAATAAAATGTTTAAATGTCCCATCAGGTGACCAAATGTACCTGAAGCTTTAATTGTTTCCCAGAAATATGGTATCAAGCATTGGTTATAAACTATTTTAGTAATTGGGAAGTCACCAACCAATGTATTCAATTAGGATCATTATATCTTTTCCATGATGAGTCATGGAATTCATAACTTTTAATAATAAAAGCTTTAAGGACTCAGGAAGGACAAGGTGGCCATCCTGTTTCTCCATGCTTAATTAACATTAGACTTATATCCTCTTGGATACCAGTTGTTTTTGCAAATTAGGTGCATACCACTGAGAAGGAAATTTGGTCATTTCTGTGGTTTACAATAATTTAGCATGATAAATATAATCGTGACTGGTAGTATGTACTTAGACATTAGAATTTTAGAAATCCCATACAATTTTAGAATATATATTAGTATTAGTCACAAAAATATAAACTAAAGAAGATTGAACATCATTGTGGCAATCCCACGTACCTAAACAGGTCAAATAATCCTGCTTACCTCTTTTCTGGATGATTCAGGGGCCCTCTGATCCATCTAGAAAGCCAGGCATTAGGAAAGGCAATTTTGAAACTGAAGTTTGATTTTGGAATTCTAGATTACCATAAATTATTTATTTTACCAAAATGATGACTCAGAAATTTTAAAGAAGCAAAAAACCTTTTATAACATTTTACAAAACAACAACAACAAAAAACACATTCTACTGTTTTTACACATCTTGCATGTAAAACTGTTTCTAATAGTCTTAATTGCATGTTACAACGGCAACTCTTAGCAATTTTAACTTTAATGTAAAACCTCGTGGGTTGTGTTCTGATAAGGTTTGCCTGTTTCCAGCAAACTTTATTGTTTTCCAGCAAACAAAAAAGGGTGTGGCCAATTCCACACAACCCCAGGCCTTACCTAGCTAGAAGTGTGGTAGGAGTTAAGTTATTTTAGGCAGATAGAGAGGAAAAGGGGTCCTTGGAAAGTTTTCATTTTTAAAGCAGCTCCAGAAATGTTTGTCTAGCAGAAAAGCCCTGGCTCTTAGACCCGGGCAGACAACCTTTGATATGCAAATGCAGGCCATTAGAAACTGGGTCCACCCAACATAGCAGGGTGGTCAACCTTTAATATGCAAACGCCAGCCTTTAGAAACTGAGTCCACCCATCATGGTGATTCCCACTTTTGTCCTCTTGCCCTTGCCCCCACATGTGTCTGACAGCATGGTTGCCCCCACATAACCCCATGTGTGTAAGAACATCATGGCACCCTGCATTTCCATATTAAAAGGCTAGAGTAGGGGGGCCAGTTTTTTTCTCTGGCTACGTGAATGACATGCCTGGTCAAACCAATCCCCTGAATTCTATGCAAATCAGACACCGCCTTATCCAGCCATCTCATATAACTGGCTGGTATTCCTGAACGTGGGGTCTCCTCTCTCGCCTTTTGAGCCTCTCTCCCTCTGTCTCTGTACAGGGGAGCTTCTTCCTTCTTTCTTCTCCCTTCTATCTTGCCTGTTAAATTCTCCACTCCTTAAAACCACTCCACATGTTTTTGTGTCATTTTTATCTAATTCAACTCCAGACGAAGAAACTGGTGTTCCTCCACTCATTGGAGTGGTATCAGAAGGGAGGCAAGTTAAACAATTTTCAAAAGCCAAAGAAGCAATTTATGACCTGCAAGCATTTAGCAAACCTAATATTTGACCATAATTTAGACCATGTGTTTACATTTTGAAGACAATCCTATTTTACCAATAATCTTGAAAACTATCTTTATTTCCCAAAGATTGCTAAAGTCTTGTGAACTGACAGGCGTTACACTTTCTATTTTTCTGACAAAATATTTGAGTTAAGTTATTATTATTAAAGCAGTCAATTAAAGACTTCACAGAGGAGATTAACCAGTTTGCACAGAGAGCAAGAGGCCAGAGACTGAGTGGTTAGAAATTCTTACCCTTTTGCTGGCATGCTAGGTTTCTGGGTTCTCTCTCCCTGAGCGGTCCTGGTGACCCTGCTTGACTGTATGCAAACAAACACATTGCCATGAATTAAGAATATTCATAGATAGTTTACAAATTTTGGAAAAACTAGGCAGAGATAGAGAAATATGACTCAAATTCTACTTGTGAGAGTATACTAACCACACTTACAGCATCAGGAAGCCTAAAATCCAAAAAGTTTGCTTAGAAACTGGTGTGTTCCATTAATTCCTGCAGCCCGACAAAGGTAGCTTAGGAATGCCAGATAAATGAAACAGATGATGACTCACTAGAAATGTATAGAAAACAAAATAACAGAACCAAATAAAAGCCTTCCACTAGAAACTAGAAAGTGTCATGGTTTTATATATATATGGATACCCAAGCAAAGCCAGAGGAGAATAAACAGTAAATGAATGAAAACCAGAAGCAAAAACAAGTAAGCAGGAAACCAACCCTAAATTTTCCTACTCAATTTACCCTAGAGGCTACAGACTCAGGGCCCCAAAAAAAAACCCACATAATGAATATTTTATTGCTGATACACAATCCAATATCCTTGAGTTCACCAATATCATTGTACATTCAGTGCAATTAAGACATTCGCTTTAGGCTTATGGCCAAAATAAGTACTCCAGCACTATCCATGCAAAACGGCAAACGTGGTGTGAAGCAATGCAAGCATGGATGTGAAATTTGGCTTTATGCTAAATTCAGCTTCATGCTTAACTATGTTAAAAAAGAATTGACAAACTGCCGATGCATTTCTTTACAATACCTCTTATTTTACTTTAATTAAGACCAAGGACTTTAACTATGAAAATGTTTCTTAGCCAAATATAATCATTTCTTTATCTGGATTTAAAGAATATTCTATTATTTAAATTTTTCCACATCTTCCTCCCCTACTTAATGATTTCTTACTACATTGTTTCATAAATAACCTTTCAAATCTGTAATTTGAACTTTTAGATAACGTCTGCATTAGATAAAATTATTCTTTTTCTTTTTTTCACTAACAGCATAACCCTTTCTGGCACATTTTGTGTACAGAATTACATGTTAAAGAGAATTAGATATGCATATTTATAGATAGAAAAAATCCAGAATTTTCCCCTTATCACAGCCCTTTCTTAATTGGAAATGATCCAGATACTAAATGGGCATCAAAAATAACCTTAAGATTTTAATTCACATAAAAAACTTACCTAAAACATTTATCTCATTCACTGTACTTAATTTTTACTTTTAATAAGGGAGACAGGAGACATCAATCAACATATGTTTGGTTCCAAAAGGCGGGACCACTTGAGGTAAGGAGTGGGGCTTGGGGGTTTTCAGATCACAGGTGGGAGACAAAGGTTGCATTCTTTTGAGTTTCTGATTAGCCTTTCTAAAGGAAGCAATCAGATGTGCATTTATCTCAGTGAGACTGTGAACAAAATGGGAGGCAGCCTCTCTCTTAGCATCTCCCAGCTTGAATTAACACACTGACATTTTAAAATATCCAGCAAAGACAAACGTAAAATCCAGACAAAATGTATGCTGACAATCACGAAGGCATTTCTATTTTTATTCCACCAATAGTTTTAAAGCCAGCTTGTTTAGTAAAGTTATACTTAGGTCACGTGAGCTTGAAAATTGCTTAGACTCATTTACTTAACTTGTGAGCGCTCTTTTACTTATAAGCCAGTTTGGTAGACACAACATATAATAGTATGTGTACATACAAATAAACACATCTAGACATCCATACACACATATAAATGAAGATCTAGTAGCTTGGAACCTTAGCTGTGAGATAGCACTACAAGCTTGCAGGTTTTACTTTGCCCCAATAGATAACCCGAGGAAGGTTGTGAACCAGAATTTTCGGTAAAGCGGTCTCCACGGCAGTTTAATTTTTAAGGGCTAAATCTCCCCAGACTCCAAGGAGCACTGGGGTCAAACAGTACCAAAGGAGGGCATCACCTGTTAACCAGGCCCCCTGCCCCCCTGCTTAGAACAGCAGCACAACAGCCTGGACACGGCAATGCCATTCCACTTTCTCATTACACAGTAAACTTCATATTCTAAACAATTTTGGGGCCAAGCAGCATTGCAACTGGGAGGGAAAATTCTAAGAAGGGCTTAATACTCGACCTCAGAACCTCTGCCAAGGGCGTCCCTTTTGGGCAGGCTGAGGACTGCAGGACCCACAGAGTGTCCTCCTAAACCAAGCTGGAAAGGAAAAGAGAGAGAAAGAGATTCCCCTGTATGGAGCATAAAGGAAAAAAAGAAAGGAGAAGAATAAATCCCAAACTTTGGGCTTACCTCTTCCTCCGGGCTGGCTCACCAAAGTATGGTAATGGTGGAGAGTGTCCAGGTTCTTGGCATCTTGAACAAATAATTGGACAAAACGCACAAAGCAAGGAAGGAATGAAGGGATTTCTTTTTTTTGGCCAGGCGTGGTGGCTCACACCTGTAATCCTAGCACTTTGGGAGGCCAAGGCAGGCGGATCACCTAAGGTTGGGGGTTCGAGACCAGCCTGACCAACATGGTGAAACCCCATCTCTACTAAAAATACAGCATTAGCCGGGCGTGTTGGCTCATGACTGTAATCCCAGCTACTCCGGAGGTTGAGGCAGGAGAGTCACTTGAACCCAGGAGGCGGAGATTGAGGTGAGCCGGGATCGCACCATTGCACTCCAGCCTGGGCAACAAGAGTGAAACTCTGTCTCAAAAAAAAAAAAAGAAAAGAAAATGAAAGTATACTCTACAACATGGGATTGGGCCTGAATATAGTGGCTCAAAGACCCTGTTACAGAGGTTTTTTGGAGTTTAAATACTCTCTGCTTGGGGTACGCCCTATGTAAATGAAGAAGATTAAGTAAAGCTACAAAGTCATTTACTGTGTATGCCCTATGGAGAGCATGTTTCCTGTTATAGCTGAAGTGTGAATTGGCCTTATGTTCCCTGCCTCCAAACCCTATTTTCATGCCCCACCCCTATCTCCAAGTTTCTGTAGGAGTGTAAGAGCCAAACTTCTGTGGAAATCTTGCTCCAAGTGGCAAATCTACTATCATAAAGATATGAGAAGTTTATTTTTTCTTTGGAAAAAGCCAATCAGCCAACACAGATGGTCACTTCAACCACCAAGTGATTTTAGGATGAACTGTGTGTGACAAGTGGTGTTGTCAAGTCCTCATACTTGAGGACTACTTATTGTTAATCTTGAGAACTTGTATGCAACGGGTTGTATCTGCTTGACTATACAAAAAGGTGAGATTTCTTTCTATCTTTGCAATCTCTTAGAGAATGGCATGGGATGTGCATTCCATTCTGGTTTAATGCTTATTAAAGATTTAAACTGTTATTCTTTCTCTTCACCCTTACGGAAAGATTTTCTGGGTTGGAAGAATATTTTGTTTTAAATTATGTTTCTCCAGCACTCAGTATGCCCCTTCTTGACCACGTTTCAAGAGACTAGAACTATGTAATTTTCAGCACAAATCTCAAAACTGTATTACAACATAAACAGGTCTTTTCTCAGGATCTAATTTCCCAAGGGCAGATCAGAGCCACTGTGCACAGTTCTAATGATGTTGGATGCCCAAGGATTATCTGCTTGGGAGTTCTTTTGAAGATGCACATAAGCCCACAAAAGTTTTCCAGGTGCTAGAAGCGGCCTGGGTTGAAAAAACAAAAACAAAAACAAAACCAAGGATAGCCATTGATTGGTACGAGGATAGCTCTCTTTTCTCTGCCATGTGCCAATTCTTAGAAGCAGGATAATTTTAATTTCAAATTCTGCCTTTTAGTCCCATATTGTTTTAAAAAACAAAGATGGAAGCAAGTTGATTCCCATAGAGCACTTCGTGGTCAGATACTGCCTGGTTCTTAATTTGGAGTGTGGAAAAAATTATTATTTCTGCCCTCGGGCCCTTTAAGAGGTCCCTGCATGGTACGAGTAGAAGAGGGATAATGGGTGAGAAAACAGGAAGACCTCAGGAAGAAATGGAAAGAGCTCTCCATTGAGTGAGAGAGAATGGGAGTTTGTTTCACAAATTTCCCAAGTGGTTAGAAAGAGAGACTGAATATGTGATACAGTCTGTCACTTTACACTTGATAATTTATTTCAACTTTATGTAGGAATATTTATCACAGTAGTAAGAAAGATCATAATATATTTAGCTATTTTTTCTTAATTAGAATATTTTCAATACCTATATATGATATAAGGGATTTTATATGTACTATGGCACATTAAACAATAAGAGCAGAGCCATTCAAAAGAATCAATGGCAGACATGAGCAGCCATCCCTGAGTGAAACAGCATTTGGTCTGTTGCTCCTTTGTCCAAACTTAGGAGGGCTGCAGAACCCATAGGCCCTCTTCAGGGAGGCCTGTTAAGGGAGGGGAAATGGTAGTGAGGGAGTTCTAGAGAGAGATTGACATGTGTTTCCTGGAGTTGTGGGTATATATGAAAGATAATGGTGCCTAATTACTAGTCTGGAGGTTTAGTAAGGAGGACTTATGTTACCATAGTGTAGAAGAACCTGGGAAGAAAATAAATGCAATTAAACCCATGTACATGAATCTCCATGCCATTCTTTGTGATCCTTTAAAGACATAAAAAAGTCCTCTGTTTTTCCAGTGTTTACAGTGAAGAAGCCAGAAAACTAAAGGAGGAGGCAGAACTCTGGCAAAAATACACAAAGCTGCATAAGCAAAGGTGAGCTATGGTTTAAATATGTCTCCCAACATTCACCTGTTGGAAACTTAATCCCCAATACAATTGTATTGGGAGGTATAACCTAATGAGAGCTGTTTAGGTCATGAGAAATATGTCCTCATGGTTAGATTTATGCTGTTATTAAAAGGGCTTTGAGGAATGGGCTCTCTCTCGAGTTCTCCTGTCTTCTGCTATAAGGTGACACGGCAAGAAGGCACTTGCCAGATGCCAGTTTCTTGAACTTAGGGCTTCACAGCCTCTGGAACTGTAAGAAAATAAATTTCTGCTTATTATAAATTACCCAGTCTCAGATATTCTGTTGTAGCAGCACAACCAGAATAAGACACTGGGTTTAGAGGGACATGGGTGTACTGTATTGAGTGTTGTGAGTGACAGAAGTTCAGCTGGAGCAAGCTGAACATGGCCCAGAGGACACCACAGACATCCACACTCTGTTTGGAGAATACAGCTTGAGCCCCTGGCAGCGGACAGAATAAATCCCTATTAGGCCAAGGACTTACCTCCTTGGCAGTGAAGACTTACATAGGAAAAACTCTGCCTCCATTACCCCACCCTTCCTGTACCCTAACAGAAGAAGTTTTTGACCCAATCAATAGAGCAGAGCAGGGAGAAAGAGGAGGGAAAGACACACTCTCATTTGAGAGCCAAGGTCCTGGAGTGTGAGAACTTGGAAAGCAGACCATAATCTTGTCTCCCTTTTGGGAACGTCTTGTCGACAAATCCAGTCTGTTCTGTGATTGCTTTTCATAAATGAAAGTGACTAGAATGCTATGCAACCTCCCAGGGTAGTAAGTGACCACACACACACACACACACACACATACACATAGACACACTCACACAAAGGACAGAGAAATTCTACAAAGCAGAGTTAAAATCAGTGACTGCCCAAAATAAAACCAATATAATTTCATGTAAGTTAAGATGCCTCAGTAAAACAGAAAGGGATTTACATATATGTGTAAATAGTATCACACAAAAGCATTGTGTTGCTGTGTTGTTTCATGTCAATAAATGTTATATTTCTCTGTTTCTAACTCTAAAAATATATTTATATTCTCAGATTTTCCTAGAAAATGGTTTATTTCAAAGTGATTTCCATATTACTGCACTAGAATTATACACACACCTTATATTTTAGTATGGTTACACATCTGTTTCTCTCTCTTTCTCTCCTACAGTAAAAGAGAAATATATTTCTACCCACCTTTATGACATCTTCTTTTAAAGATCCTGCCGTTACTGCTAACTCAACACAATCGAAATTCAGATTCTAACCTTCTCATTGCTCCCACCTCCTGACTTCCTGGAATCACTTTTAAACCTAATATCTCATTTCTATGAGTAGTTCTAAAGCCATAAAGTCACTTTGACACTTCGATTTCTTTCAATCTCAATAAATAATGTATCTCCGATAGCTTTTTATTTCAGTCTCAAATATCTACTATAGTTACACACTTTCAAACTAATCATAGCCATAGCCACAGAAAATTAAAATAAAATATTTTCTTTTCTATTTATAGAATTTTTTTCTGTTGGTTGGACCAACTTATAATAGCAATATGATTTCCCTTAAAGGTTTTTTATTGGTTTTCAAGGCCTTTAATATCTTTGTTATATATGCCACTTATTCTTTTTATTATAAGGCCATTTACATCCCATAGTAAGAGTTATCAACAAACTGTCCAATTGTTACGCCTGTCTGATTTAGTTTCCAGCACACATCTTCTGTCCTAATTATTCAAGTCTTCACTTTTCTTCTCTGCTACAAATTCTCTATTCATCGTTACTTCTGCTTCTTGGTCCGTGTTACCCCTTCTCTTCTCTGACACCCACATTGTAATCATCTTTCAAAGACACAGACATTTTAATGTTTTTATCAAATCTCACTTGACTGCTTAAATCCCTACTAACTTCCTTGAAAAGAGACAACACAAATTATTTAAAGAGAGGATTTTTAAAAATTTTAAAATTTTTAATTTTTGTGGGTTTATAGTAGGTGTATATATTTATGAGGTACATTAAATGCTCTGTTACAGTTATGCAATTTGAAATAATCACACCATGGAGAATGGGGCGTCCGTCCCCTGAAGCATTTATCCTTTGGGTTACAAACAATTCAATTACATGTTTCTAGCTATTTTAAAATGTACAATTAAGTTTTTATTGACTATAGTCACCTTGTGCTATCAAACAGTAGTAAGCAAAGAGGACTTTTCTATAAAGAATGGTTTAACCATGTACATAAGGAATGAAAAGATAAAAAAAGGACAGGGGAACCCGGTTACCACAGAAAGCAGTTGAGATTCCTAGGGCTACAGGGGATAAAGAGAAGAAGCTGGCATTGTTAAAAGTTCAGGAGAACTCAGATTTCTTACGACCTCCTCCGCCAGCCCCCACATCAGCTGGTTCTAGTATGTGTGAAAACAGGATAATGAAATGCCGTGGCAGATTTGGAACAAAAACAGGAAATTGGACCTAACTATAGGTGGAACAGTTGCCATCCTCAGGGTAAACATCAATAATTTGGGTGACGCAGAAAGAAACAGGAAGCCAAGTGCCCTCTCATTCCTACGATCAGTTACTATAGGAAGAACCTTTCACTGAGTCAGCTGGTATAGGAAAAATGTGATATGAAGATTCACAGACTTAGCATTCACAACACAGTATGGAAAGGTGATTTTGTAGCTAAGAAAAAGTAGCTATACACCCAGCACATTTGTCAAGCTTTAAATACACTAGGAAAATTCACACTGAATTATATTGCCTATATATTTGAAAATTTATTCTTGCTTAGAAACTCAGCAGACAATGCCTTATATAGTATTTTGATTAAACCTCTGTATTTATAAAAGCTTATCAAACTAAAAAAAGGATAAAAATAAATAAATGTTCCATGTTAAATTGTTGATTGACAAATTGACTCCATTGCGTTAGGTTATGTATCTTGCATGTTACTTTGTGAATGTTCAAGCTCAATCACTACTTAAATTAACTCTCGGTGTTATCTAGATTTAAGTATACCTTAATTATCTTGATTCCAGCAGTTTGAATGGTCATGAAGCTTTATTACGTTTACAATTGTTATCAAGTTTTAAAAAAGACAACAATTATATACATGGCACCAATTAATCCTCTGCCATTATTGGAGAAATCTGGATTTACCACCTAAGCTACTCTCAGTAAATTTTACATTTTATATTACTGCATGTTCAGCATTTTTCAGCCTATCAGTAGTATATTCCCATAATAAATATATATTTTAAGATTCAGTATTAGATGATTTCAGGCAATAAAATTATATTAATATTTTAATGAGAGTATTAAATGGCTTCATTTGGTATTCCTACTGTCACAAGGACATTTAATCATTCTCCAGCAAACTGGAAATAATGCCATCACTTTATTCTGTCTCTTATGAATAGTCCAAAATAAACACTTCCAAATTTAGGGTTTCTCCCAAAATCAAAATGGATAAACCAAGATAAGAATAATAAATAATTTTATCGCTTCTCAGCCTTTTGGCTAAGATCAAGTGAAGAATACTATATAATTTTGTATGTAAGTATACAGAAAATAAAGAGAGCTGAAAAAGTATTGAAAACAAATGCTAGTGGATTCTATAGAGATAATGCTCCTGGGCAGAGTCCAATGAGCTGAAAAAATTAGATTGTTTGAAGGTTTTAAAGGAAGAATTTAGAAGCATATATGCTCTTTCCTACCTCCACAACAATGCCCTCCAAAAAACTAAAAAGTATGAATTCTGTTAGCTATAGACACAATCAAAATTCACATCCTATGGAGCTGTTAATTCTGGACTCACCTAAAACAGACACACTAAATATGGAGGTGTAGTGCCATCTTGAAAACTGGGTCTACACATTGAAGATGAAAGTTCTACAACTTCTCTCAACCTGGTTTCCACAATGTCTGAGGCTGGACTGTTGCCCTAACTGCAATTTTCAAGGTAAGGGCTAGGAGAATTTCTTTCTGTGAACATTTATTTGTCAAGGAGATGAAACGCCAGAAAATAAAATTTGAGAATCTGTATTTTAAAAGTTTTTCTTATCAATTAGTCCCACTCAGGCTTTTAAAGCATTTTGGTGCCTCATTACTAATTATAAAGGCACAACTACGCACCATTTAATCATTTTCCTAAATTGTTTATTTTTTCTCTTCTTGCCATATGTCAGAGTTGTAGTTTTCAGCGTGTTGAATTTAGGCTTAGCTTCAGGATTTGTTTTGGTCAACAGAATGTGAGTATGTGAGTAAAAGTGGTTTTTTTTTTGTTTTGTTTTGTTTTTTCACTTTTCAGCATGTTGAATTTAGGCTTAGCCTCAGGATTTGTTTTGGTCAACAGAATGTGAGTAAAAGTGGATTTTTTCATTCTTGGATAGAAACTTTAAGAGCTTCTTTGTGCCATGGTCATTGGATACAATCTGTATTAGTCCATTCCCACACTGCTTTGAAGAACTACCTGAGACAAGGTAATTTATGAAGAAAAGAGGCTTAAGTGACTCATATTTCCACAGACTGTACAGGAAGCATGGTTGGGGAGGCCTCAGGAAACTTACAATCATGGGTGAAGGGTGAAGGGGAAGCAAGCACCTTCTTCATGTGGCAGAGCAGGAGGAAGGGAAAGTGAAGGGGGAACTGCTACACACTTTTAAACAAACAGATATTTTGAGAACACATTCACTATCATGAGAATAGCAAGGGGGAAGTCCTCCCTTATGATTCAATCACCACCCACCAGGGCCCTCCCCCAACATGGGGGATTACAATTCAATATGAGATTTGGGTGGGGACAAAGAGCCAAACTATATCTCACAATCCATCACTTCCACTCCATCAGCCTGGGTCAAAGAGGGAACATGATGATGACACAGAGCAGAATCCCCAACACACACTTTTATGAATGGTTAGCAACAGACAGAAATTAAGCACTGCTTTAGTCCTAAGACTGTAAAGATTTTTAAATTTCAGCATAGGTAGTTAAGCTTACTGATATCACAATGAAAATTATCAAGGCATTTCAGGAAAATATATAATGAAAGACATATTTCAAAGCTAAGAAAAGGAAAAATGATTTAAATGAAAAATATGCATGTATATACTTTGAGACAAACCTTTAAAAATAAGAAATCTTCTCAAAATTGGAAGAGGAAACACTGTATTTGTAAAAAAAAAAAAAAAAAAAAAAAAAAAAAGAATAGTGGTCAATATTTTTTTGAGAGACGGAGTTTTGCCCTTGTTGCCCCAGGCTGGAGTGCAATGGCGCCCGATCTCGGCTCACCACTGCAAACTCCGCCTCCCGCGTTCAAGCAATTCTCCTGCCTCAGCCTCCTGAGTAGCTGGGATTACAGATGTGTGCCACCATGCCCAGCTAATTTTGTATTTTTTTAGTAGAGACGGGGTTTCTCCATGTTGGTCAGGCTGGTCTCGAACTCCTGACTTCAGGTGATCTGCCCGCTCCAGCCTTCCAAAGTGCTGGGATTACAGGCGTGACCCAAAATAAGAGATGAGACATGCAAAATATTATAAGATACAAGTTGAGAAAATTCCTCATGGATTGAAAAAATTTATATAGATTAAAAAAATACTAAAGATACAAATATTAGCATTCTCCAACATCCTCAGAATGTGAATTGCAGAATACAATAAATAAGAAAATATGAGGATATAAAAATAAGTTAAATAAGAAAATATACTAAATTAAAGATATAAATTATTATTTTGAAATGAAATGAATATTCCAAAAGAAAAAGACCAATAAAAGGAAAAAATAAATAAATTTATAACCCCATACCAAAACCTATCATTGTAAAATTTGAGAGGAAGGGGAAATTGTTTACTCTAAAGTGTTTAGACATCTAAGTGGCTTTTACAACTGGAATATAGAATATCAAGAAAAAAAGTCTCCATATTTTGAGAGAACATCCTTTAAAATCCAGAATTATTTATGTGAAGCCACGACTTATGGGAAAGTATCAAAAAATATTTTATCAATCATGTTTCTCTAAACAGATACTTCACCAACTCCGTGAACTTCTCAAAAAGTTACTGAAGAATGTGTTCCATCCAATTGTGGGAGTAAACAAAGACAGAGGAATATAAGAAATGCTGTAATTGCAAATAAGTGATCCTGTTTAACAATAAGGTAAACACATTTTCAGAATAATGGAGAATAAAAATACTCAGGAGAAAAATTTGCAAGAATAACAAAGAAGGACACTAGGAGAGCTATCTCCAAGGAGGGAATAAAAAGGGAATGAAGAAAGGAAAAGACAGAGGAAAGAAAAGGGAGGAAAAATGATGAGAAACTTTAGAAATAAAAGCTAATGTCTTTGAACATAATAGCAGAAGATTTTTTTTTGTATTTGTTAGTGTGATGGTTAATACTAAATGTCAACTTGATTGGATTGAAGGATGCAAAGTATTGATCCTGGGTGTGTCTGTTAGGGTGTTGCCAAAGGAGATTAACCTTTGAATCAGTGGACTGGGAAAGGCAGACCCACACTTAATGTGAGTGGGCACAATCTAATCAGCTGCCAGCATGACCAGAATAAAAGCAGGCAGAAGACTGTAGAGAGATCAGCAAACTTAGCCTCTTGACCTCCATCTTTCTCCCATGCTAGATGTTTCCTGCCCTCAAATCTTGGACTCCAAGTTCAGCTTTGGGACCAGGACTGGCTTCCTTGCTCCTCAGCTTGAAGATGGCCTATTGTGAGACCTTGTGATCGTGTGAGTTAATACTCCTTAATAAACTCCCCTTTTTATGTACATTTATCCTATTAGTTCTGTCCCTCTTAAAGAACCCTGACTAATACAGTTAGTATTTGAAAATGAATTCGTAAGTACATGATATGGTTTGACTCTGTGTCCCCACCCAAATCTCACCTTGAATTGTAATTCTCATAATCCTCAATGTTAAGGGTGGGACCAGGTGGAGGTAAATCGTGGGGGCGGTTCCCCCATGTTGTTCTCATGATAGTGAGTGAGCTCTCAGGAGATCTGATGTTTTGTTTTGTTTTAAATTTTTATTTTGAGACAGAGTTTCACTCTTGTTGCCCAGGCTGGAGTGCAGTGGTGCGATCTCAGCTCACTGCAACCTCTGCTCACCACAACCTCTGCCTCCCAGGTTCCAGCAATTCTCCTGCCTCAGCCTCCCGAGTATCTGTGATTACAGGCATGTGCCAATGTGCCACCTCGCCCAGTTAATTTTATATTTTTAGTAGAGACGTGGTTTCTCCATGTTGGTCAGGCTGGTCTCAAACTCCTGACCTCAGGTGATCTGCCCACCTCAGCCTCCCAAACTGCTGGGATTACAGGCGTGAGCCACAGTGCCCAGTCGATCGTGTTATATGTTTTGTAAGTGTCTGACACTTCCCCTGTTTCCAGTTCTCCTTCCTGCCGCCCTGTGAAGAAGCTGCCTTGCTTCCTCTTCGCCTTCTGCCATGATTGTAAATTTCCTGAGGCTTCCCCAGCCATGCTGAACTGTTGAGTTTAACTTTCTTTTATAAATTACCCAGTCTCGGGTATGTCTTTATTAGCAATGTTAGAATGGACTAATACAGTATACAAAGTTAGAAAACAAAATAAATTAGAAAATTACATCTTTAATAAAGACACTCAAAATCAATAAAGGCAATGTAATCGTAACATATTCTGTCTTAGATCTGAATTTTTACTCAGTCACATAATGTAAAAATTGAATACTAATAGCACCAAAAAGGTGGTTAAATTTTATTGAGCGTTTTAGGAAAATGAAAATAAAGTTATGTGTACAGGCAGTGGCAAATTTAAGATATCATAGACTTCATTCCACATTAACATCAATATATGAAGCATGTAAAAAAAAGCAAGAAATGGTAGTAAATTAGAAGTATGAAAGCAAATAGCAGATAACCTTAATGACTTAAAAGTGATTGTAAGGAAAATAAATTTAGAATGAGGAGTGATAAAAGAGAATGATTGTAACTTGTAACTTCAGGGCAAATACTCCTTTTTAATTTTTATATTCTAAGTGTACATTTTGTAATGCTGCATATTAACTAAAATAATTAAATGTTAGCATTTAAGGTTGTATTTTGTTACTGTTTTTATTCACTTTTGAAAGGATTGCAGAAGAATTTGAATAAAATAAATATAGTGGTGCTATAACATCAATGAACATGATATTTTTCTGTTATTAATAATATGAGAATGCAGAGTTATCCAATGAGTTATAAAAAAAATAAAGAGAAATAAAAACCCAACAAGGAAATGTATTTATTTCTAGACTAAGATTTTTTAAATGTTATAAAATTGTTCCAGCAATGGATTAGCATTGACAAAAAAAAAAAAAAAAACTAGATGAAGAAAAAAAGAATTATTGAACATAAGTGAGAAAAATGTTTATATGTATATACTAGCCATAATTTGATCTATTATTTCAAAGGCAAAAGACATGAAAATATAGCCACCAATTTTTAAATTTTAATTGTAATTTGCAAGTAAAAATTATATGTATGCAAAAAATGATTTTTTAAAATCATGCAAAAAATGATTTTAAAAAATATGTATACTTTGTGTAAAGGCTGAATTAAGCTACTTAACATATGCATTACCTCACATACCGTTTTGAGTGTGTGTGGTGAGAACACTTAAAATCTATTATTAGCAATTTTCACTTAAAATCTATTATTAGCTGTAGTCGCCATGACGTAAAGTTGATATCTTGAACTTATTCCTCCTGCCTAACTGGAAGTGTGTATCCTTTGATGAACATGTCCCCAGTTCCCTCAATCGCAGCCTTTGGTAGACACCATTTTACCCTCCATCTCTGTAAGTTTTACTTTTTTCCACTACATACATAAGTGAGATCATATGGTATTTATCTCTCTGTACCTGGCTTATTTCAACTTAACATAATAACCTTCAGGTTTATACATGATGTTACAAATGACAGAAATTTGTCCTTTCTTAAGGCTGAATAGTATTCCATTGTGTATATGTATATATAACACTTTATCCATTTATCCATTGATAGACACTTATTTGATTTCATATTATGGCTACTGGAGATAATGCTGAAATGAACATGGAAGTGCAGATATCTCTGCAACATACTGATTTTAGATCCTTTAAATATATACCCAGCAGTGGGATTGCTGGATCATATGGTAGTTCCATTTTCAGTTTTTTGAGAAGCCTTTATACTGTATTTCATAATGGCTTTATTAATTTACATTCATACCAACAATGTGTGAGGGTTCCCTTTTCTCCACACATCACCAACACTTGTTATCTTTTGTCTTTTTGATACCAGCTATTCTAACAGGTGTGAGGTAGAATCTCATTTTGGTTTTAATTTGCATTTTCCTGATGATTAGTAATGTTGAGCATTTTTTTCATATACCCGTTAGCCATTCGTTTGTCTTCTTTTGAGAAATGTCTATTTAGGTCTTTTCCCAATTTTTAAAGTTTTCTTACAAAATTGAGTTATCTGAATTTCTTGTTTATTTTGGATATTAGCCCCTTATCAGATATATATATTGAAAATATATTCTCTCATTCTGTAGGTTGTCTCTTCACTTTTTCTTTTTTTTTTTTTTTTTTTGCTCTACAGAGCTCTTTTGTTTGATGTAATCGATTTGTCTACTTTGGCTTTTGTTTCCTGTGCTTTGATATCATATCAAAAATAAATTGCCCAGATCAATATCCTGGAGCTTTTTCTCTAAGTTTTCTTCTAGTAGTTTTATAGTTTCAGGCGTTACATTTAAGTCTTTAATTCATTTTTAGTTGATTATTGTATATGCAGTGATACGATGGTCCAATTTAATTCTTTTGCATGTAGATATTCACTTTTCCCAGCACCATTAATTGACAAGTTTGTCCTTTCTGCATGGTGCAGTCTTGGTATCTCTGTTGAAAATGAATTTACTGTAATTGTAGGGATTGATTTCTGGGTTCTCTTTTCTGTTCTACTGGCCTATTTTTTTTTTTTCAAGTGCCAACTATTAGTGGTATTTACCAGGGTTTGGGGTTGAAGCTAACATCTTTTATTGTATGTAATACCTAATGTCATTTTTTTTACAAGGGTGATTTACATCTCAAAAATAATTAAAAAATGTTCTAAGAACCAAAAAGGAAACCACAAGCAAATAAAAAATAAAATGTCAAGTCACAGAGATTCTTATAACTGTAAAAAAAACCCTCAAAATTCAGACAGAAAGAATAGACTTAAAAGGAGCAATAAACAATCCAATAATGATAGATGATCTCCAACTAAAGACCCAGATGTAGCCTTAGACCCTTTCCTTGAATTTTCTGAAGCTCAGTAATAATTCTAGAAGTTGGATACAACAGTGAGGAAAATATATTTAACTAAGAATAGATAGAATTATGTTTCTGTTCTGTCCAAAAGAAATTAAATTGTCATTTAAAAAGTAAAGCAAAACAAATTATTTTCTTACCCACCTGTTTTCCTAACTTAGGGTCATTCTGAATAAATATTATTCAATTTGATCTGTTGTTATTAATTCAAGTGTATCAATAATTAATACATTCAGATTTTACATAAATAAAGCTATAAATGGTTACAATAAAATATTCTGGATATAAACTCAGGCAGGGTCTGTGTCATGTTAAAATTTTCCTGAATTTATATACTTATAAAAACAAATATAATTTATCATTTATGTGCTAGCAATTAAATTATAAAATGTATGTCAGTATTGTATATGGAAGACTGTTCTATGAACTACCCCAGAATAATCTAGTTTCATCATTACATATGCTAAATGTGATGCTACAATTAGCACACTTGGTAATTCAGGTAATATTTTAATTAGTCAGGCTGAATATCTACATATAGGGTAAATACTGTTGTAATAGTTGTACTACGCCCAGTAATTATAATTTATGAAACAAGTAAATAGAAATATTTTAATAAAAAGAATGCAGAGTTACTCAATAAGTAACAGAAAAATAAAGTGAGAGAAGTCAGAACCCAACAAGGAAATTTATTTATTTCCAGCTCAATAATATTTTTTGCTCAAGGAGTCTAAGTTCTAGTAGATTTTTTGAATGTTACTGTGCTATTGTAAAAACAAGAGAATGTGTCTTACATTTGAATGTGTCTCACAAAACATTTATTCATTGTAACAATAATCATAAATATATAAGCATTTTATATGTGTTTCTGATATGCATTAATAAATGTTTTATACAGAAATACATTGTAATTGTGTTCACTTGCTCCACAAGCAAATTTTTAAAAGTTATGGATATGGCCAGCACTGGCAATGTAAATATTTTATATACAAAATATGCAGATTTTTATGGCTACTTTTTTATTTAGTTAATCTCCAAAACTATATTTCTTCATCTTCAGACTCTACATTTCTGAAAGATCCTAGAGGCATCAAGTTTAGGAATCTATATATACTACAAAACAGTTGCCAATGCTACAGATTTGGCATAATTATAATATGTGTAGAAGAGAAATCAGTTTCATAAAATTCCTAAATGGTAGTTGGAAAATATAAGTATTTAGACAAATATTTATTTGCTTATTACTGAGGACTACTCATAATTTGTTTTTTGGGATGGCCAGTGAATAATCATGTATTGTTATACCATTGACACCTCTTAGCCTTAGAATGTATAATGACACATGTAATTTTAATGAATTAGGGAAGTCCAGTATTGTGTTTCAGAAATGGTCAAGAAATTGCATTCTTCTAAGAGGTCAAGGAAGATGATGGTTTACAATTATTTGTTGGATTTAGCAATATGGAAATGATTGGTAGCCTTAGCAACATCTATTAAATCAAAAGATTGATACAGAAAAACATCACAGAAATGATAAGCAAAATAATGACGAAACTAATATAATGTTTTAGGTAGAATTCTGTGCCATAGTGCACAAACCCTGCCCTTTCAGTGTAAACGAGGCATGTAAATATGATGGGAGAGTCATTTCCATATTATTAGGTTATATTATATGACAAAGGTAATGAAGTAATCACACCAGTGATGACATTATACAATATGTCATTACATTATGTCAAATAAGACTATGGTTTACCCTTGAACAACACATGTTTAAATTGTAAGTGTCCACTTACACATATATTTTATTCTGCTTCTGCCACCCCTCAGTCAGCAAGACTGCTTCCTCATTTTTCTCCTTCTTCTCAGTCTACTCAACTTGAGGACAACCAGGATGAAAACCTTTACAAAGATCCATTTCCACTTAATGAATAGTAAATATATTTTCTATTCCTTATGATCTTTGCAAGAGCATTTATTTTCTCTAGCTTACTTTGTTATAAGAGCACGGTAATGGCTGCACGTGGTGGCTCACACCTGTAATCCCAGCACTTTGGGAGGCCAAGGCAGGTGGATCACAAGGTCAGGAGGTAGAACAATCCTAGCCAACATGGTGAAGCCCCATCTCTACTAAAAATACAAAATTAGCCGGGCTTGGTGGCGGGTAGCCTCAGCTACTCAGGAGGCCGAGGCAGGAGAATGGTGTGAACCCTGGAGGCGGAGGTTGCAGTGAGCCAAGATCACACCACTGCACTCCAGCCTGGACAACAGAGCAAGACTCGGTCTCAAAAAAAAAAAAAAAAAAAAAAAAAAAGAGCACAGTAAATTAAGTGGAATTATATATAACATACAAAACATGTGTTAACTGTTTATATTAGTGATAAGGCTCCTGGTCAACAATAGGCTATTAGTAATAGCCTATGATGTAATGCAGAAATAGTAAACTATGAAGTATACAATACAAACAATAAATAACTCATAAGTTTCCAGAGAAGGGAGAATCAATTGCTCAGGTGGAAAATAGAAAAATAAATGAGCCCACAATTAATTATTAAATGAGTAAAGAAAGACAAAGTGGGCGCCTTGTCTTTGTCTGCTTGAGATTTAATGTGGAGATAGGCAATATAAAATTAGGCAAAGCTTCTTTGGATAGTTTTGAAGAGATATTTGCAGTGACCTAGAGGGACTAAATCAACTACCTAATAGGAACAGAGTAGAAATAGCAAGAATCAGAGAAAATATCTCAGACATTTTAAGCTGAAATTCTGAAGCCCTAATGATTTTTGTTTAGCATGAGAAGACAAATATGCAATATGCCTGTGTGCTAATGTAATGGGCACTATAATACACCATTAGAAATTTCTTTCAGCATGGAAGGACTTTTCTCCCAGCTACTAGGAGTGAAATTGGATGTCATGCCTAAAATTTCATCTCACTATTGCCCTTTGCTTTAAAAAAGTAATTTTGCCCAATTTCTCATCCATTTCTGCATCCAGTGATTGGTCACTGTGGATATATAAAAATCTGATCTCTTCTCTCAGTATGACATATCCTTAAAGTGCCTTTCAGTTTTTAAAATTTATTTTATTTATTTATTTTATTATTATTATTATTATTATACTTTAAGTTTTAGGGTACATGTGCACAATGTGCAGGTTAGTTACATATGTATACATGTGCCATGCTGGTGTGCTGCACCCATTAACTCGTCATTTAGCATTAGGGATAGCAATGCTATCCCTCCGCCCTCCCCCCTTTCAGTTTTGAATATCCCTGCAAGGTCAGCTGAAACTTTTATTTGTACTACATTGCTGTCCAGCTTCTTTCTCTGCCCAATCATGCTTTCATTCCCTCCCCTCAGATGTTGATCACTAGAGCACTCCCCGATAAATACATGGCCTGCTGATTCTTCTGTCAAAGCATATGCTTCCTTGGGAAACATATTCATCAATTTTTCTAGAATTGGTCTGAGAAAGCAGACACCAATATGAAATATTGGTGATGGATTACTAACTGAAAGGTGGTAATGAGGCCTTCATTGCTTGAGGGTCAAGCATAAATAGTGCTTATTTTGGCTAAGAGCTAGCAACATATTTGTTAAAATTCTCACTAGTGGTGAAATGTGATGGTATACCACTGGGAGAAAATGCACTAGCAATTGTTCCATGTTTATCATTTGAAAAATATGGGGGGGATAGCAATTATAAGGAAAATGGAAATAGATGGATGTTGGTGAAGAGAAAGACACTACAAGGCCAAGGATGATTAATCATTAATTAAAGGCTTTATGTAATAGTCCATAGACAAAGCTGGCAGCTTATTAAGAGCATCCATCAGCAAAATAGCAAAGTTCAAGACAAGGCCACTGAGTTCCAAAGAAATGTAAGCATTTATGTTATGCTTATGTCCAGACTTTAAGTAGGAAAGAATGGAATGCTCTGATAGGAGACAGAGGCATCTGGGCACTGAACATTCTACATTCTCGAAAACTCAGATTATCTTGAATCCTCTGAATCTGAATAAATGGCTCATTCCTTCTTCGTTGTGTATAGCAGATCTTCCTTACATGAATAAAACACAGAGGCCTCTTCCCTGAAAATCAAAACAGAGTTTCCTCAAAATCTGCCTCCATTAGCCTTCTGACTGTAAGAACCATAATTAGCATTAAGCCAAAATGTGATCTGTCTTGTGAAATGCTGGGTCTATTAATGGTGCAAGAGACCCTTAAAGAAATATAGAAATATAGATACTGGACACGGTGGCTCACGCCTGTAATCCCAGCACTTTGGGAGGCCGAGGCAGGCAGATCACCTCAGGTCAGGAGTTTGAGGCCAGCCTGACCAACATGGAGAAACCCTGTTTGTACTAAAATACAAAATTAACCCGATGTGGTGGCGCATGCCTGTAATCCCAGCTACTCAGGAGGCTGAGGCAGAAGAATCACTTGAACCCAGGAGGCGGAGGTTGCAGTGAGCCGAGATGGCGCCATTGTACTCCAGCTTGGGCAGCAAAAGCGAGATTCCATCTCAAAAAATATGTATACAGATATAGATATATGCTTCACAGAGTGTATCACCCACCCAAGGACCCTAGAATACAGTGCAAACATGATGATGATAAGTCTTTAAAAACTTAGGGAAATAAATGGCCAATGTTAAGTTGAGTAGAAGTAAAAGATATTTACACGAAGACTGGAAGGATGGATCAAAGTGTTCAAAAAATAAGACTTATCAGATTGATTATACTATGGAAGTTTGCACCACTCACCAGTTGACTGTGTTGTCAGGAAGGGTACAGGAGATATTCTAGTGACCAAGGTAATAAAGAATGGTAAGAGGGATCGTAGCATCCTTTAGAAGTCTGGTGATCAGCCTGCAGCTGGAGTCCATGCCTGGATGGTATATTCTGTAAGTTTTATATTTACATATACTTATACCTATATTTATATATCCTTTAATTAAATTTATGTTCCATTTGTTCTTGATTAGAATTCAGACCTACATTTTTTCTCCTGGATCCCACCAGCACTTGTTGGCTAGGTTCTACAACTCTTTAAGGGATAGAAGTAGGAGATGCCATTTTAGAACTTGGTTTATTGAGTAATAAGGATGATACAAAACTGAAATTACAGAAGCCAGGTGGTAGCACTTAACTGACAGATTCAAGTAAAACACAATCATCATGAGTGGCAAGGCTGGAGTCTCATTCATGGGTACATGATCCTCAGAGAGCCAATGCAGGTGCTTAATTAAGAAACAGCATCCCTAGGGAAAACATAAGTGGTCCTCCAAGAAGAAAATTGATCTATCTATACAACCCAAACTGTTGATGATCAAGAAGTTGCATAGATCCATATCAATAAAAGGCATATTTCTTGCCCAGTTTCCATATCTGAGCCAGTTTATAGGCCCATAGTTCTTTGTTCCCTGAAAGGATAGCCCTGCAACTTTATGGTGAATATAATGATTTCCTCAGTTTTTCCTCAATGAAACCAGTGGCCGTTTGCTTGGGCAAGAATACATTGGGAATGAGAAATACCTCAAACATTGGGAGAATATTACACAGTCAGAATCAATACTAATAGTAGGGAAAAAAGACATTCTCAAGGTTCTCTGTTAGAAAGGGAGACATGTGGTGACTGGTGACTAGTCCTAGCCTAGTTCCACCTCACCTTTGGTTCGCTGGATCCATAGAACTAACTATTGATTTGTTTCTTAGTGTCTGAAGAACATACTTGGTAGATATCCCAATCTGCATATTGATTTCTTGGACTATGGGGTAAGACTTATTATCTACAGTAGAAATGAAAAAGTGGAAGCCTCTAAAATGTCCCGCCTTACCTTCTTCCATGGTTGTACATCAAAAACAATGTTTTTCCTCATGAGAGTAAATTATAATAGTGCCACCCTAAAATATATAAAAAGGACACAAAGATGATGGCCCTTGATATAGCTTGATTTAATTCATCAGACATGCCTCTCTAGAAGCCAGATAGACCCAAGATAATTGCAGTAGACCTTCACAGATTTAAATAAGTAGTACTCTTCATCGCAATTGCTATGCTACATATGTGGCATCTTTGCTGTAAGATAAAATGCCAACTTGATATACGTACATGATGTGCATTTACCTACTGCATGCAGTCTTCTACATCCCTATAAGAAAAGATTGCTACTGTTTGGATGTGTCCCCCAAAGTTAATGTGTTAGAAAGTTAATCCTCAATGCAACAGTGCTGGGAGGTTGAACTTTTAAGAACTGATTAGATTATGATGACGTGGCCATAATTAGTGGATTAATGCCATTGTCAATGGAGGGGATTAGTTATCATAGTGGATTTCTTACAAAAAGATGAGATTGCCCGTCTTCCAGCTGTCAAGTACTATCTTGTCCTTCTGCCTTCTGCCAAAAATGATTCAGAAAAAAGGCCCTCATCAGATGTCAGCATTTTGAAATGGACTCCCCAGGCCCCAGAACTGTGATAAATAAATTGACATTGTTTATGAATGACCCAATCTGTGGTAATCTCTTATAGTAGCAAAAAATGAACTAATACAAGGATCATAAACAGTTCATTTATGTAGGGTGAAAAACAATGTATACATACAATCTTGCACTAGGCCATGGTAAAAGTCCTACTTTGTCTAAAGATAATTGTTCTTTCTAGCTTCCTACAGCATAGAAAATGATCAACTATATTGACAACATTATGCAAATAAGATGGGATAAGAAAGAAATGGTAAGTTCATAGGAGGCCTTTTAAGAACAAATGTGCTACAAAACTCTATGAAGTTTCAGGGCTGTCACATTTATAAAATGTATAGAAATCCAATAGTCTGGAGCATGAAGTTCAATGTAAAAAAATGAATCAATCATTGTATCTCAACTTCCACCGTTTAAAAGAATCACAATGTCCTGTGAGACACATTGAGTTGTTAAGACAGTATATTCTACATGGGAATATTGTTTCAACCCATATAAAAATGTAATAAAAGTTGCTAGAGTTGAGTAAGGCTCAGAGTAGGAAAGGGCTGAGACAAGTGTGGGCTGTAGTATAAATGATATTGGAGATACTAGTAATGGTAAAATATGCTCAATGTGACTTATGCAAAAGGTAGACACCCCAGAGTGCTGAACAAGGCTATGTTAAGTGGCAGAGTATTTATTATATATGTCAAGTGGCATAGTATATGTTATATCTGTTAAGTGGCATATGTTAAGTGGCATATATGTTATACATATGTTATTTATCAGTTATATATAACACAAGCATATATGTTATATATAAGTGGCATATGTTAATTGGCATATTATGTCAAATATGTTAAGTGGCATATTATATGTTGTATATGTTAAGCGGCATATTATATGTTATATTATACATGTTAAGTGGCATATTACATATCTTAAGTGGCAGAGCCTTTATTCAAAGTGCTGAACGTGGCTATGTTAAGTGGCAGAGTATTTATTGTTTTTAAAGTTCATTTCTCACTTGGTCCCAGTACACCATACTACTGGGCTTGTCAAAAATGGAACACAAGGCTATGGTTCATCAAGTGACAACATATGGCAAACTGCCCATTCTGAGCTGGGTTGAGTCACCCTGAATAAGTCACAAGGTTGGTGTGCCCAGCAGCAGTCTACCATAACATCAGAAGGGATATATACAGGATTGGGCATGAATAGGGCCTGATGGCACAGCAAGTGGTTTAGTTCCCCATACCATCCTCCATTGATTCACCTGTGGCTCTCCATTAGCTCACACATGTGTTCAGGTCACATGTGTTCACTGAGAGAAGAAAAATAGCAGTTTAAGCTATGTGAACTATGCTTAATTTATCAGGCCTAGAGACATTTGAGTAGGGGCCTTTAGTCACACCCACACCCCCCATGCCCAGGGGCCACTGTTTAAAGGTACTTTGTTCCTGACTAGCAGTCTCACCCATTATCTTCATGTTCCTGAAATTCGTGATACAAATAGCAATGTGTAGCCCACTAATAACTTCTGCTGTTTTAAGGTAAATTATTGGTAAACAACTTAGAATTTGCCTCTTCTTTTTTCTTAAAAACCCAGTTACAACTGTTGCCAATTGGATTGTATATTAAGGGCAACTTGAATCTATGTTCCCAAGTAGCCTTCAAATAAACTCTTTACTTAATCATATTTTCTAATCATTGTTATTTTAGGCTGAGTTTGACAAAGGGAATTACTCCTGATCAGTTGATAGAGGAAAAGTGGCTGAGCTTGGTTGACAATAAATTGGCCTAGCACGTGGATAGTAGCCAAAAATGAACTATTGCTGCATAACAGCCCCAGTCGAGTGTCCCTGAAGACCGTGAACTCATAGGCTATAACAAATGGTTTGGAAAGTAGGTCAAAGCAAAAGACTGGATAACTGCGTCAAGGAGGTATCGAGAAGAGGCACGCCAATGGTCCAATGAAAGCAGGCACGAAGTGGAAGGAAGTTTTGTAAGGCAGCCTTGTAAATCACGCTGAATGTAGTAGTGGATGTTGTCATGTGATTTTTGGAAACCTACTCTGCACTGCAGCTCCTGAGAGTGCTGCAAGTGACAGCCTTTACTTTTCAGCCCTTTCCTTGGATCACCCATGACCAAAGAACGCCAACTTTTATCTAATAACTGATCAATGGAAAGTGATATAAAGGTAGATCTCAATGCCCATCTTAATCAATTCGGAAGGACCACCTCAGGTCCAGAGTTTACTGAGGACTTTCATAAAGCTTTTTTTGAGAATATATGTGTATTACTCAAGATTCTCTAGAGGAACAGACCAATGGGCTCTAACTTATCTATCTATCTATCTATTATCTATTATCTATCTATCATCTATATATGTACATATATAACTATATCTATCTATACTGAGAATTATAAGGAATTGGCTTACATGATTGTGATGGCTGAGCAGTACCAAGATCTGTAGTTAGCAAGCAGAGACCCATTAACGCCTATGTTTCCAAAGACTGGAAAAGACCTTCACTATTCCTAAAGACAGTCAGGCAGGAGAAGTTCCCTCTTACTCAGCCTTTTGTTCGATTCCATGTTCACATGATGGACTAAGGCACACCCACATTAGGGAGGACAAAAGACTTCACTATAATTCAAATATTAGTCTTATCCAGAAACATACTAACAGACACACCCAGAAAAATGTTTGGACAAATGTCCTATTACTCCATGGCCCAGTCAAGTTGACATACAATATTAACCATTATAATACTACATCCTAACTTTTCTTTATACTTAGTCTGGCTTCTTGTCCTAGGCCTATAGGTGCTGATGCAGAGCACTCCTCAGATGCTCCCTGTGTGCTCATCCTTGTTTCAGAGTCTGCTCTCAGGGAAGCCAATTTGCAACAGCCAACAAAGCCCACTGGGACAAATAATGCAAAATGGAAGAGAATCTATTAGTCTGTCTTATTATCTAAATATGCATTTATCTTAGAAATATATAACATATACACATGGATATAGTGTATACATAAGTTAGAAATAATATATATACAGTATATGATAGAAGCAGAAAACTGTTAAAATGGTAGAATGTGATTATAACAGGCAAGACTGGGCTCCAGCTGTTTATCTTTGTCTCTGTCTATCTGTCTATTTTTATTTTTTGTCTCCTCTTCTCTTTTTTAAAAGGGAGGTGGTTTGCACAATGGGAGCCACGCAACCTCTGTGGGAAGAGTTATTTTAACGCTGACCTTGATTAGAATTGCCATTGCATAGGTAGAAACATAAAGAAATAGCATTTTATACTGTTTGTTATCATTGTTGTTTTGTTTTGTTTACTTACTGCAAATAATCATTTTTGTCATCCATGGGCCAATTGTTCTTAAAGTGTGGGTAGCATAAGCATCATGTGGTAAGTTGTTGGAAATGTAAATTCCTGGGTACCACTCTAGGCATACTGAATCAGAAACTCTGAGCATGAGGACAAACAAGCCCTCCTGGTGATTCTGATGAATGCTAAACTTTGAGACCACTGATATAAATAATACACTAATTTCCTCATTATTTATTATTATTATTTTATAACTGCACTAACCTGTTTTTCCTTACCAAGATAGAATCACACTAGCACAATGATTAAATTATCATTTTTTACTCATCTATGCAAATTTGCAAGTCTAGGCAGAATACTATTATAAATTTATGTTCAACATGAAATTTTATTTTTCTGAACAAAAATAATAGAGATTCTTATATTTTAATGTAATTGGCAACATTAGTTGAGTTTCTTCAAACACATTGCAAATAATTATATAATACCTGTTTTTTCTATTATTTTCCAATTAGTGAATTCTAGCAATAAGGTTTTTTAAAATGGTTCATTATAATACATGTAATTATAGTCGGGTAAAGAAACACTACTTTCACTAGCTATTAATATTACTTTGACTTGCAAAAAAGCAGCTATGCTAATTAAAGGAGAGCAATTAAAATTTTTAGTTTAGTAGTTCAAGTATCTTTGGCACAAAATGGAAACAGATATAGCTTACAGAGAATTTGGGGCCGGAAGTAGTAAAAGTATGCTTTAGTTCCACAGTTCTGATCCTGGGTTAATACTGTATAGAACCACTAACAAAAAGGCAGAAAAAAAAATCAACTTTATTATCCTCTGGGAAAAAAAATTCATGCTGTGTTACATCATGACAAGCCACTACTACTGCATAGTAATTGGGAGCCAATGGTGGGATCCCACTGTGACTAATCCTTGTTATTTTAGAGGTATTTTTCTGAGCCCCCAAATTAATAAAAATTTTAAAAAAATCTTGACACATCATGTTAAATGGTCTTATTGAATCATTACACTGTTTGGGTTCTACTTATTTTTAGAAATGTCACAGAGTAAATCTTAATTCCTTTGATTTTTCCTTTCACACCATGCACTGATGCTTGTATTTCCTCAGGACTCACTCAGTTACTTTTAATTCTAATCCAACATACTTACATTTTCTCAAACTTTAGCAGGAGGGTTATTTTTCCATCCATGTTTTTACCTTTACCAATTATTGCTTCATATGTTAAAATATCTTTTCAGGTTTATTCATCTTTTAACACAATTAAAAGGTGAACTACTTTTAATGTAGAGCCTGTGTGTTTGATTTTATTTTTCATTCCTTGTGTTCTTGGTTATTGCTAAAGATCCTTGTTTACATAAAAAAATTTGTTAAAAAGTAGGTTTGTCTTCATTCTCTCCAAAAGCATTTAATTATTATGATACAGACATTCTTATTTGTGGGAAGGTGACAGGATTCAGCATTTCTAAAACTGTAATCCAGAAGCCAATTGATCTAACCAGAGAGAAGCAAGAATAGTGAGAAGAGCCATCATCATCATCACAGGTACAGAGGGGCTCCAGAGAGGCTGTAGTGCAATTAAATAGTGTTTTCTGATGCACAGGAGCAGAAAGGATGTCAAATGCTGTGTTTCACTTCTGAAGAATCTGCATGGAGCCCTAGGATCTCTTTGCCATGATAAATAAGACTTCCACGTTTTGCACATAGATTTTTGACAAAGATTGAAAAATCATAAATAGTGCTGACATCATTATATATATAAATATATAATATAATATATATGTAAATATTGGCAAACCCCAAGGAAAATAATACATAATTCATATACCCCTTTTTGGGCCTCAAAAAATATTTTAAAAATTAAAAAAATTTTAGCTGTTCCTTACACTGACTTTCTTTCATAGTAACAACCACCACTCATGTTAGGCCCACTGAATAAAATTCCATATGTAAAACATTAGGCATATTATAAAGGAAATAAACATCTTAGTAAGAAAACTATATATTGCAAGTTTCAATGACTGGATCAGATCTGTAAAACAGCTTTTACCATAGAAGAAAACGTTTTCAAAAACACAAAATATTCTGGGGGGATTGGGTTTTATCCCGGTTTAAAGCTGAAACCACTTTAAGGCATGTTGTGGCAATACAGTGATGGCAGGGTGGTTCTGGAAACTGTTAAATCTACAGTGTTCAGCTAACAAAAAGAATGTTTTACTTTTTTTTTTTTTTTTTTTTTTTTTTTTTTTGAGACAGAGTCTCACTCTGTCACCCAGGCTGGAGTGTAGTGGCACGATCTCAGCTCACTGCAACCTCTGCCTCCTAGGTTCAAGCGATTCTCCTGCCTCAGCCTCCTGAGTAGCTGAGGCAACAGGTGCGTGCCGCCACACCCAGCTAATTTTTTGTATTTTTAGAAGAGATGGAGTTTCACTGTGTTAGCCAGGATGGTCTCCATCTCTTGACCTCGTGAACCGCCCGCCTGGGCCTCCCGAAGTTCTGGGATTACAGGCGTGAGCCACTGCGCACGGCCTAATATTTTACTTTTTAAAAATAGGCAAGAAATGGCAAAGATGACTACTTAAATATGGTACTAATGCTGTGCTACTTTCTTGAAGCAGTGCAGGTATTCTTGATGAGTGTAGAGACAATCTGACTTGGTATATTTTTTGGATCTTATTTATGATTTGGAAGAAAACAAATATTTACCAATACATTTAGAATCAGAAAGGACTTTGCTGGTTGCCATTTTTAAAGTCAGGCCAGTAGCTGCAGACTGCAAGTATTTTTTCTGGTTTCTTTGCCACATTTTTCTGTCATCTCAGCCTTTGGAAAACTACCATCTGGGTCTTCAAGCTGTGTACTTATCAGTGGTAACCACTGTGGATAGCAGAGGCCTTTGAGGCCTTTTTCTGAGGTTACAGCTTTGTTGACGGGGCTCATTTCTTCTAAACACTTGTTCCCTTCCTGATCTAACATATATTCTGACCGTCTAGTGTTGTGATCAACAGGGATTTGAAGGGTTATCTTGTTGTCAAAGATCGTGACTGTATCAGCTGTCTTGAAAGGACCTGGAGTTTACTGTCATCAGTTTCACCAGAATCCACTATTTCCTTGGACAGTTTTTACATAGACAGTGGATTCCTTGTCATAGTAACCTTATGCTAATCTCCTACACAATTTAACTTCTATAGCAAATTTATGTGCTTATCATTCTAAATCTGCATCATTTTAAATGAAGTAAGTATAATGATTTTCACAGTCAATAAATCATATATATTCTGTCACTTGGAGTTGCAGTAAGATGGGCTACCTGAAAGTTCCTAAAAGCTTGGAATCCTGAAAAGGCAAAATCTCATTATAATGATTTTAGTCCTGAAAAATTCTGATGTACTTACAAAATGTTTAATCCTGAAAGCAACCTTGATATTCTGTGCAATTCTATATTCTTGCTTTCTGTAGCACAGCAGAAACAATAATGGGCTATTACCTGGAAATTGTTGTGGAGAGGATAAAATACATATATACCATCAAAGTAAGCATATTGTGGTGTCCAAATTTTTTTTGAAAGTATTTTCTTTTGGTAAACTGGCAATCTTTCTTTTTACACTGAATTGCTTTTTACTACGCACACACATTTCACCTAACTTTTAAGCAACATTCTATTTTCTAATGTATTAGTTATGGAAATGGGATAAGATATTTTGTAATTATACATTATGTTATTATTGTAATACAAAATGGCTTTTTAAATACCAGTAATTCCTGAAGACTGTTTGTATTTTTCTCTTCTTGTAAATATTTTTTCAATATTTAGTAGTAGTATATTCCAGGCACAGTGGCTCAAGCCTATAATCCCAACACTGAGGGAGGCAGAGGCAGGAGGATAGCCTGAGCGTAGGGGTTTGAGATCAGCCAGGGCAACATAGTGAGACCCCATTCTCTACAAAATGAAAAAAAAGTTTGAACCAAATAGTGGTATATGAGGCAAATATATAACATAACTACCTTCATTAGGTAATTGGGAGTTTTGAATGTAAACATTGTTTTATTTATTTTTTTTTAGCTTATTTCTATGTTTTCATGTCTGGAAAAGCAAGGCATTTGGAAATTTGTCTTAAGGAAAAAGTAAAGCAATGTATCACTTCATACATTCAATTCAGATGTCAACCAAATTCATAGTTTAAGTTTAACCACCTTGTCTTTAACGTTCATACTTCTTCAATAGATAAAGGGCAGAAATTGTGAAAACATGTATTTTTTAAAACTTAATGAGTTTAAAGAATAAAATAAAAATATTTTTCACAAAGTGTCTGATGCTATTTGTAGATTAAAGAACCCATAAGATATACTTTATTGTATGGAATGCTAATAAAGTGAAAATATCTTTAGCATGAGGAACATTTGGACTCTGAAGTAGTTTATTTTAAATTCCAGGTCAGTCACCATTGCAACACAAGGACCAACAATGCATTAAAGTTCTTTCCTTCCAGAAAGAATTTTGAATGAAGTGTTGTCCGAATGCTAGTAAACAAGATTGGCTGCAATGTTCTCACCAAGAAAAACAACATTAAAACATGAACCCGTGAAGATACATAAGTGGCGTCCTTTTTTCTATAATAATGTATAGTTTCGTTATACAACGTGCTGTTGAATAAACACCAGGTAAGAGAATAAATATTTAACAATGACTTTGTGTTATTTAATACAGTGAATAACTGTATCCTATGTAATTTGATTTTAAGGCTGTAGCCATTTTAATACAGTATTGGTTTAAATTGAAATCTCAGTTTTAGTAGGCTTATTACTAAGTATCAAATCTACCTTGATATGTAGGAACTAAAGCCATTCATTAAAAAAAATTATACATACTTAGAAACTTAAAGGCAAATAATTTTAAACCAAAGTCTGACACTCAAATTATTTATTATAGTTGTATAGGCAATTCCTTGGGTTATTGTATTTTTTTTAATACAGTCATACGTGATGGAAGCTTTTCTATATCTTATAAAAAACATTGTTGTAGAATTACAGGGGTAAAATTATTGTCTGCATTAAGCCTTTATTATGATGGATGACAATGAAACTGGGTCAAAGGCAAATGAGTTTGCCAAATAACATGCTATTTGTAATCATGTTGAAAGATGGTCCCAGGACTCCTGAATCACAGCGAGTACCATTTGTGCTCACAATTATAAATGCTATTACTTGAAACGTCTGAAGAAGAAGACTAGGAACAGAATAATATAATTCCTGTGTGTGGGCCAATATTTACATTAGCATAATAATGTTGACAGGTTTCTCAGCAATCTCTTAGCTAAGCACAAAACATTTACAACAAAGTGTTGATAGACCCAGAAATGGAAATCCCTTTGGAAAGCTCAGTGAGTGTCAAATTCCAGACAGAGCTAATATATTTCCGTGAGATCTGAGTCCACCATTTAAACCTCCAATTTTGAAAACACCATATTCATCATTTTTAGAGTTTAACAGTTTCATCACTGTCAAATACGTCATACTAAAAAATGGAAAATCAGAATCTTCAAAACACGTAGAATTCATTCAATTCAACAATGAAGCAGCATTTATTTCAATGCAGCCTGGTGGAGCAAACCTTGCTAAACTTCAAGAAAGAGGTAGGTAAAGCACCTGCCAAATGGCAGTTCTATTACTTAGAAAGTAAAAATCAAAGGGCATTCTCAGAAATGCAGACCCCCAAGATCTAACCACAGAGATTCGGTTTAGAAGTGGGGATCAGGAAACTGCAGGTTTAATAATACATTTCAGGCAATTCTGATGGAGATGGACAGGGGTCACTCCTTGAGGAATGCTTTGTGATCTCAGTCTATTTAAGTCAAAACAACGAGCCCCTAGATGCTACCTATTCCTCCATTTATCAGTTTTCTTTGCCTATTCATACCTATCTTACTCAGGATTTCTGAAAGTGTACATATTTTTAGGATTTCTGAAAGTGTACATATTTTGTAAAGCTGCCTGATAATTGATATGGGCAGTAATTGATAACAGTGTATGATAGAAAGGAAAATTTTTATCTCACATGGAACATGGCTGAGAGAGGTCTAGAAAGAGAGATAACGGCAACATAGAGCCTGAACACATAATATAGAGGGAAATAAATTCATAAAGTATTACAGACATTGAGCAAAGGCCTCCTCATATCTACTTTGAAACAGGGAAACAAAAACCAGAGATCCTCTCAACTTATCTATTGCAATGGGTCTAACAGATTGTGTTAGGAAAAGTAAGTTAGAAGGAGAAGGGAAAGAGATCATAAATTTGTTTTTTACCTCCTCTATTTGGTCTAACCTAAATATATGTACATATTTTCATTACTTTAAAAACCAGTGATGGAAAATATATAATATATATAATAAATAGGCTCCATATACCTAGGTCTAAGAATGTTTTAAACCTCCATATATTATGTGTAGTTCATTGCTTTTCTAATAATCAGTAACACTCAATTTCAAGTGAGTTAAAATGCCTTAATATTATATATCACTTTTAACTTACAAAGCCTTTTAATATGTGTGTAAATCACAGTGATAAACACACACACAATATATATAACATATATATGTCAAGTCATGCTTTAAGGTGTTTCTAATTAAGCTAACAAACTATTGAAAAAGACTGTTAAACAATAAAATGTAATGAAATAAACAAGATTTATATTTAAAATATTTAATAACCAGTGGTTATTGGCCAATCAGAATAAATGACATCAACACTTCAAATTCAAATATTAACTAGATGCATATTACTTCACAGCTGTAAAGAATTTTTTTTAAATAAGAGAAAACAATTGTGTGATTTGGAAAAAAATTAAGAAGATTGTAAGAAAAAAAGGACAGTATCAAATTGGAACAATGGCAAAATAATATGAACAAAATCATAAAATCATTAAAGGTCCATGTATGTTTCAGAAACACATTTTGTGTGGATTTCTGTCATATTGTGTGTGAGTGGCTACAAATGGCCATAAGATCATACTAAATTTTTATTGGATGCTCATATTAGCCTCAGGGGTAGAGAGGGCAAATCCTGTGTGAGGAAGAATGTTTATGGCTCATGTTTTGTATATCCATGGAAGCAAAGTAAAAGAAAACATAAATAAAATGAATGATGAGAGTTACACTTCCTGCTTCTTCACACCCCATCATTGACCTCCCTAGAAGAGAAAGGATAACTGACTTGATGTGGAAGACTAATTGGGAGAAAGACTCTTTCTCTCTGCAGGTACTTTTCAGTTTCTCTCTTTCATTCCTGCCAACCTCCTGGCATGCTATGCTCTACTGTTTTTCCAGGACATAAACTTATTGAATCAGACTTTGTCCAAGGAAGACTTGCAGGTAACAATTTAGTTGACTTTAAATAATGAGAAATTGCTTGCATATCCAATTGGAGGAGTTTCTAAAGTTATTTTAACCAATTATCATTGTCATTATTATAAGTTACATTTTAATAAACATTTATCTCCTCTCATATTCTTTATTGAATCAGAACTAGAGAAGAATGAAGTAATGTTACATATTGATCCCTGAAAACTGCAACAAAAATGAAGGAATAAACTACCCAAGGGCATACATCCTGTAATCCATAAGGACTGAACCTGAGCCCAAGTCTCCTGCTTTTGCTTGGTAGGCAAAGAGATGAAAGGTTTGTGAAGCAATAAATCCATATAAATTACTCACCAAAGATGACTTTATATCCTGCCAAGGCTTCATTCAGGGAAAAAAAAAAATCAGATTTACAAGTATCATCCCAAATCAAAAAAGTAGTTTTAATATATGCTCAAAGTCAGAAGTAATATCGGCCTCTCATATATAGTATTTTGATTTAATTAACAAATGTAATTACAAATAGCCACAACAAGGTCTTTAGTAGTTAAGACCTCAAAACTTTAGAAAATATTTAAAGACAATTAGATTTTAGGGACTAATACTAATACATTTCACAGAATATTCCTAAGGGAACATGAAAACTTCTGCTTCTAGCCTTTTTTATGTGATTTCACTGTAACTGTCAGTGTTTGTGACCAAAATTAAATTTGTGATCAAAATATATGTATATACACATGAATACACACACACACTTACGTGTATATATGCATATATACACACGCATATACAAATGCATATGTATCTGTTTACTCTTGATAAAAGAAAAACTTCAGCTGAACTAAATTTAAAGTTTAATTGAGCAACGAATGATTCGCGAATTGGGCAGCCTTCCAAGCCCGGGTAGGCTCAGAGACTCCAGCGCAGCCATGTGGTGGAAGAAGATTTATGGACAGAAAATGGAAGTGAGGTACAGAAACAGCTGGATGGCTTACTGCTCGGTGTTTTCCTTGTTTGAACATGGCTCGAACAGTTGGCTACATTTGCTTGGCCAAAACTCTGTGACTGGCACAAGTGTAGGCTATGGTATGTTTACACCTCCACTTGTTACAGTTCACGATGTACAGAAAAGCCTTTAGGCCAAGCTTAAAATATGTAAGGAGGCAGCTTTAGGTTAAACTTGATTTAACACTATATTTTAAATTAAGAATATTAACGCAATGAATACAGTGAATAACACTAAAATATATAATAGCTCATTACTTTATAACTTAAATTGTTATAAAAGTAAGTCATGGTTATTTGAAAACATGTGAGAAACACAATTAAAAGAAAAAAATGCATCTGTAGTCCTCACTCCCTTGAGGTCCCACAACACTAGTATCATTTGTTTATATTGCCATCTAGCAATTTGTATATAAAATCTGGATAATATTATACTACTCATATTCTAGTATGCAGAAAGACAAAATATATTTATGTTGTATATCTAGTTTTGGTGTAACATTCCACAGTTAATATTTTTACATGTTGTTAAATATTACTCAAAATATTTAAAGACTATATTCTATTCTATTCTATTCTATATTAGATTGAATAATAGCTCCCCCAAAATATTTTTCCTTTGAGCGTGAACTTGTTTGAATAAAGAGTCTTTGCAGATGTAATTCAATTAAGTATTTCCAGATGAGATCATCATGGATTAACCATGGATTAATCCACAATGATATGTGTCCTATAGGAAAGCAGACAAAACAATACCCAAAGGCAGGGTTCTTGTGAGGACAGGCTGAGATTGGAGTGACGCATCTACTAGCCAAGGAACATCATGGATTGCAGCTTCTAACCAGAAGCGCAGAGAGAGACATGGAATAGGTCCTCCCTCAGAGCCTCTGGAAGAAACTAACACTGCCAATGTCTTGATTTTGGAATTCTGGCCCTTAGAAATGTATAGAATGAAAATCTGTGATCCAAGCTATCTGGTTTTTGGTAATGTATTACAACAACACTAAAAAACCAACACTATTGTCTCCTCTTATCGGTAAGGATGATGTTCCAAGACTCCCAGTGGATGCTCGAAACCTAAAATGATACTGAGCCCTATACAGTAATGCTCTGTTAGCAACTGACTGCATATACAATGGTGGTTCCATAAGATTATAATGGTGCTGCCCTATACAGGTGTTTTTTTTTTATATTTTATACCAAATTTTTACTGTACCTTTTATATGTTTAGATATGTTTAGGTACATAAATATCATCATGTTACAATTGCCTACAGCATTTAGTACAGTAACGTGCTGTAAAAGTTTGTAGCCTAGGAGCAATAGGCTGTACCATGTAACAGAGGTCGTAGCAGGCTATACCCTCTAGGTTTAAGTTCAGTCTATGATGTTCACACGATGGCGAAGATCACCTAACAACACATTTCTCTGAAGGTATCTCCATCTTTAAATGATGAATGACTACGTATGCTATACACAAATTTCTTTTTGCTTCTTCACAGTTTTATGGATAGAAGATTTGTTCATACCATAGATGTTAGCACTGTCAGCATATGATTTTTTTTCATAATTGGGTAAAATCTAAATTTTAAACTTAGATGAAGCACTTTACAGCTTTTGTTGGACATATTTGAATTACCAACATCACTACTCTTATGCTCTGAGATCATTATTAAGTAATATGAGTTCCTTTAATACCAGCATTTGGACACCATGGCAGTCAGTCTGATCACCAAGAAGACTACTAAGTGACTAACGAGCTGGTTACATATACAGTTTGGATACACTGTGTAAAGAGATGACTCATGTCCAGGGCAAGACAAAGTGGAATGGTACAACATTTCATCAGGCTACTTGGAATGGCATGCAATTTAATACTTATTAATTTTTAAATTGTGGAAAGTTTCATTTAATATTTTTAGACTGTAGTTAACCCTTGTTTGCAAACCTGCAAATGAGTAAAGACCGCTATACACATCCTATAGCTATACCAATATTTATTGTATCTCATCACATTTTGAAGGTGCTATTTATTATCCCTATGCAAAAATCTTTATAAGCATTTTCGATTAAGCCTATATTTGAATTATCTAAACATTGAATTTTAATACATTTAAACAATAACAGAGATTTCCAAATTTCTCCCGACTGGGCGTGGTGGCTCACGCCTGTAATCCCAGCACTTTGAGAGGCCGAGGTGGGCGGATCATGAGGTCAGGAGTTCTAGACCAACCTGACTAACATGGTGAAACCCTATCTCTGCCAAAAATACAAAAATTAGCCTGGCATGTTGGCGTATGCCTGTAATCCAAGCTACTCAGAAGGCTGATGCAGGAGAATTGTTTGAACCCGGGAGGCAGCGGAGGGGGAGGTTTCAGTGAGCCGAGATCACACCACTGCACTCCAACCTGGGTGACAGAGCAAGACTCTTGTCTCAACAACAACAAAAACAAACCTGATATTCCCACTAGTAGTTAATTGTGATAGAACTTTGAAAAGGAGCAACATTATATTGTATATTTACAATCTGTACAAAATATAGTATGAACAATACTTTTAGTTTGTATAGATTGTAAATATGAAAGGGGTGCTTTTGGAAACAAAAAGAAGTGTTTTAAAATTTAATATTCATACTTCTGTTACGATCCTGATGTTGTTTGTTGTTTCAGTTCCTAAAGCTTAGAATGTCAACTGAGAATCAGTGAAAGCTTACCCCTCAGTAGGTATTATTCCCACTAATATTTTCCTTCATTAGGGTAGATAATCAGAAATTGACTGCAAAAATATATCTATCTTAGATAAATCTCATATGTATGTAGAGATAATGAAATTTAAATGTGTTTTTCATAACCTATGGGATTTATGGGATTTCGGTAGGAAAAAGATTATATAGCTAGACACAACACAATTATATTTTCATCAAACCTATTTGACTACTTTGCAATAATTATCAAAAATTTTTTTAAATTCAAATATTTAGTTCAAATATTAATTGGTAAGAGTAAAAAGACAATTTATGAAAAGTTATTTCTAATTAAATATTATCTGTATTTAATTCTTTCATATTAGTTTTTAAAGGTAAAACAAAATAACGAATCTAGGCAGCTAAAAGATAAAATTTGTTAATTTTATCAACTAAGAATGATAAATATGGTTGGGTTTACCCAATAGGAAATAGGGTATAAGTGTTTTATTTTTTGACTTTTTAATTCATTTTAATAACACCTAATGAGTTTATATAAAACATCCAGTTTCCAAATTCTTTTAAGACTGTAATGTGTATCTGAGAATTTGCTTCTTAAGGGCAAACCGGCCATTAAAGACAATTGGTAGGGTTGCAACTTCATAAGAGATTGGAATGTTGTCTAAAGCAACAGAATACAATGCAATAACAATCTCAGAATCTTCCTTTTTCTATCACTTTTGTGAAGAAACGTGAGGAAAATATATTATAGTCGATTACAAAATTAGGTCATTTGAGGTGGGCTATTATTTATGAAGCCCACGTCACTGTTTTCTCAATGTTTTAAGCTGTGTCAAGAATAAGGTCAAGTTCAGTAAGCTTACTTTTATGTAAAAGATTAAAAAAAGATTGCTAGTATATTAATAGTTTCTGATACTTTTGTTTTTGTTTTTGTTTTTGTTTTGAGATAGAGTCTCTCTCTCTCGCCCACGCTGGAGTGCAGTGGTGAGAACTTGGTTCACTGCAAGCTCCACCTCCTGAGTTCAAGTGATTCTCCGGCCTCAGCCTCCCGAGTAGCTGGGACCACAGGCGCATGCCACAATGCCTGGTTAATTTATGTATTTTTAGTAGAGATAGGGTTTTGCCATGTTGGTCAAGCTGGTCTCTAACTCCTGACCTCAGGTGATCCACCTGCCTCACCCTCCCAAAATGCTGGGATTAAAGGTATGAGCCACTGTGCCCAGCCAATTTGTGGTACTTTCTAAGAAATTTGATCTCAATTGAAATGGTTTTTTTTAAAATAAAATAATAGAAAGGAGTCACTAAAAAGGAAAGTGGCATAAAAGTTTAGACATTAGTATCAAAACAGCAGGATGTGTAATTTCAGGTATCTTTATGGAATGTGTTGTTTAAATTTACATTTGTTACAATAGTACAAAGGGTATTAGTATTAGGCAGGGCATTTTTTAGAAAAAGATTATATTGTTTATTTGATAAATATTATACAGATTTATCACTTCTGTAGTTCAATAGTTTAAAAAAGTTTATATTTAGCTAATATGTAACTCATAGCTATCTTTTTAATAATACCTTAAATGGTCTAGTTAAAAAATTGATTAGTATGGAGTGTGAATTACCTGGTCTCACAAAACAGAGAATAGATGAAGGTATTTCTGTTAATCAAATAAATAATAAACTTATAAACATGTTATATTTAAGACAAAGTTTAATTTGTAGCAGGCAACGTACATATACAATTACTAACTGCCTGCAATTATTGTGTTCTTTCTATGTGTCAGGCCTTGTTCAAAGCACTGTTCCTGTGTTATATTATTTAATTCTTGTTCAAGCCCCATCAAGTTTTATTACTCTCATTTTACAAATGAAGAACCTGATGCAATGGCAGGTTTATTCATTTGCTCCAGGAAATAGAGCTGGAAAAATTTAAAGCTAAGATTTGAACCCAAGGACTATGACTAAAGAGCTTACATCTTTATTACTACACTATACTTGTTCATACTTCTAGAGAGAATTACTCAGTTAAGCGGATATTTATAAAGTATTATAAGTTAACTTGAGTATGTAGTCAGGGTAAGTAATCAGACAGTTTCTGAGGACAGATAGAATGTACACCTACTTTTAGTAAGTTTATTCATTTACATTAAGTGATAACATGTGTTTATTTAAAATTATGTATACTCATATATATACTTACACACTATCATATATATATATATATATACACACACACACACACACACACACACTGTTTTTCTTTCTACTGTAAAATATTAGGTCTTAATAGACCACTCATACATTCAAGGACATCTAGAAAATCTGCATAAAAAATATAAAATATCTCATTAAACTCATCAAAGAACTTCTAACGTTGAAAGCTTCAGGGAGTAAAATTTGCAAAAGAAGAAAAATGCAGGTAAATTCAATTTCTGTTTTTTTTTTTTTTTTTTTTTTTTTTTTTTTTGAGACGGAGTCTCGCTCTGTTGCCCAGGCTGGAGTGCAGTGGCACAATCTCGGCTCACTGCAAGCTCTGCCTCCCAGGTTCACGCCATTCTCCTGCTTCAGCCTCCTGAGTAGCTGGGACTACAGGCTCCCGCCACCACACCCGGCTAATTTTTTGTATTTTTGGTAGAGACAGGGTTTCACTGTGTTAGCCAGTATGGTCTTGATTTCCTGACCTCCTGATCCGCCCGCCTCAGCCTCCCAAAGTGCTGGGATTACAGGTGTGAGCCACCGCGCCCGGCCGGTAAATTCAATTTCTAATTTTACCATTCTAAGAAGTTCACAGGATGAGTGGATGAGAAGTGAAACGGAGTTTCAGGAGCACATAGGTCAAGGAAACAAAAACTTGAAGTTTATAATTCACCAAGAAAAATGTGCAATTTGAAGATATACAAACTAGTCAAGTTAGAAATAAACAAACTCACATAAAGAATAAAACCCAGATCCAAATTACATCAGTTGTTGATGCGATATACTTGGTCTGCTTTTAGCCTGAGTTTCCGGTTTTTGTCCTGAAGTTCCTGGCAGAATCAAGGACAAACACAAAACTTCAGTGGGGGAATACATCATCACCAGGGGCTCAATACTGCTTTATCTTTTTTTTTTTTTTTTCAAACACAATCCCACAATTTGATTAAAAATCAATAGAATCTCATCATTCACATTGCTCCCATTTTCTCAAATGCGAGACATGTTCCATGGATCAGTGCATTTCCATCTGTTCTGAATCACAACCTAATTTCCTGTGTGCGAGTCTTAACATGTGAGTGTTTTAGTATTGTAATGCTATATTTGTCACCTCACTGACTGTCAGCAACATGGTCCTTGTTGCCATGTGGCTGGCAAGATATTCAATTTCAAATTTCCATCATGACATTTTGTTTTTTAGGATCGTTTTCTGCACCAATAGCCATAATTCAGATTTTTCCCAGAAGCAGACACTTTGACAAAAAGATTGAAGTAGTTTACTGCAAAGATGTTTCTAGGAGTCCCTAACAGTTGAATGGGAAGTAAGATATGTAAGGGAAAGAGGGAAAGATACGTACAAGCAACACTATGGAGAAAGTTACAACTGGAGCTTAACTCCGCTGGGGAAACCTAAGAGATGGTGTGCAACTTGCTCCGCAGAGTTATTCCTCCCAAGAAGCAAGAAAGATGGGATATTTGTGCAGAAACCACCATTGCATGTGGGCCACTCTCAGAAGACTGTTAATTCCTGCATCTCTGGCCTGACTTACATAAGGACTGAAAGGGTTCCAGGCCAGTGAACGTCCTCGAGCAATGTGGAAGTAACTGAAAGATGGGCTAGTATGCATTTAAGTATCAATGCAAGGCGGATATGGGTAGAACACTGATAGACTCTGTACCACAGTCCCAAGTAGATTTAGCCAGCTAAACAGTCAGTCATCTTTTTCTTTCTCTCTTTTGGGATTCTTTGGGAATACCACAACCTTAGTTTTCTTCCATGAGCCATTTTGCTAACTGATAGTATTTACTGCAAATGATTGTTCCACATAGAAATTTTATCAATGGGCAAGATGTCTAAGATTTTTGGATCCTGTCATAAAGATTAGTGATAAGGCCAAAAGGCATTTATAGTTTGTTTGTTTTTTTAATGAATTGGAATAAGAATTGGTCTTCATTTTCAATCCTGCATATCTAGGCTCGCTGTACTTCCTTCCTATTGTGTCTATTTCCAAACTGGTTACTTTTTTCTTAGATTTCTCCATGTCTTCTTGTATTTTACTATAGAAACTGATTGAAGTTGCCAATGGTACTAAAATTATTTCTTCCACACTTTACCTCCAAAGTTACAAATTCTTTTTATTTAAAACTTTAAAAAATTTATTATTTGCCTGCCTTCCTATTTAAATCAGGCAAAAATACAACCAAATATTTCATTATGACATAAAATTGATTGTCATTATTCTGTCCTCAAATATTATTCTTGTTGTCTGACATTTGTTCATAGAGCCAATTAAAAATGATTTTTTTCACACCACGTCACTGTATACAAAAAACTAAAACAGATACAACAATAATTATACACTGCAGTAGTACACATTGAATACAATGAAGCTTTGGACTAAAGGAAAGAACAGGAGAAATAATAAGGCAGTTATGTGGAAAACTTCCTACAACATTTGTTGATTAATTGAATTGTAGAAAAAAGGAAAGATATTAAGAGTGACTTCTAAGTTTCTCATTGGAACCTCACAAGAGGATAGTACTATAATGGGGAAGAGTAGAACAGTGAAAGTTGAAGGTGTATGATATAGTTTGGATATTTGTTTCTGCCCAAATCTCATGTATAAATTTAATCCCTAATATTTGGGGTGGGGCCTGGGGGAAGTGATTGGATTATGGGGAGCAGAGTTTTAATGAATAAAGTGAGTTCTCTTTAGATCTGGTCATTTAAAAGTGTGGCACCTCCCCTGTCATTTCTCTCGCTCCCTTTCTCACCTTGTGACATGCGTGCTCCCCTTTTGTCTTCTGTCATGATTATAAGCTTCCTGAAGACTCCCCAGAAGCCAAGTAGACATTATCACCATGCTTGCTGTAGAAACGTGAGCCAATTAAAACTCTTTTCTTTATAAATTACCCAGTTTCAGATATTTCTTTACAGCAATGCAAGAACAGCTAACACAGAAAAATTGGTATCAAGGAATGGGACATTGCTATCAAGACTGAAAATGTGAAAGCACCTTTAGAGCTGGGTAATGGGCAGAGATTGGAAGACTTTGGAGGGCTCAGTAAAAGACAGAAAGATGAAGGAAAGTTTGGAATTTCTTAAGACTGGTTAAATGGTTGTGACCAAAATGTTTAAAGTAATACCAACAGTGAAGGCCAGGCTGCTGAGGGCTCAGATAGAGGTAAGTAACTTACTAGGAACTGGAGGAAGGTCACACGTTATGCTTTGGCAAAAAACTTGGCTGCATTCTATTTATGCTCCAGGGGTCTGTGGAAGTTTCAACTAAAGAATCATGATTTGGGATATCTGGCAAAAGGAATTTCTAAGCATCAAAGAATTCAAAATCTGGCTGCTTCTAACAGCCTGTACTCAGACACATGAGCAAATAAGTGACTTACAGTTGGAATTTATATTAAACAGGAAGCAGAGCATAAAAGCTTGGAAAATTTGCAGCCTGGCCATGTGGTGGAAAACAAAAGCCTAATTTCAGGTGAGAAATTTAAGCAGGCTGTGGAGCAATCACTCACTAGAGATATTTGCATAATTAAAAAAAGAACCAAATGCTAATATCCAAGCTGATGCGAAAAAGACCTCAAAGGCATTTTAGAGACCTTCATGGATGTTCCTCCCATTACAGGCCTGGAAACCTAGGAGGACTGAATGATTTTGTGTGCAAGATCCAGAGCCTCATGGCCCTACACAGCCTCAGGATTCTGCTCCCCACATCCCTACTGCTCCAGCTCTAGTCATGGCTCAAGGAGGCCAAAGTACAGCACAGGCTGCCACTTCAGAGAATGCAAGCCATAAGCCTTGGTGGCTTTTATGTGGTGTTAAACCTACAGGTGCACGGAGTGCAAGACTGGTGGATTCTTGGCAGCCTCCACCAATTTTGAAGGATGCGTGGAAAATCCTAGATGTCTAAGCAAAAGCTTGCTGCCAGGGTGAAGCCCACACTGAGAACCTCTACTAGGGCAGTGAGGAGGGAAAATGTGGTGTTGGAGGCTCTGTACAGAGTCCCAACCAGGACACTTCCTAGTGGAGCTGCGGGAAGAGGGCCAACATCCTCCAGACCCAAGAATGTTAAATCTACCAGCAGCTTTCACCCTACACCTGAAAATGCCACAGTCACTCAACTCCAGCCCATGAGAGCAGCCTTGGAGGCTGCACCCTGCAAATCCTCAGAAGCAGACCTGCTCAAGGACTTGGGAGCCTACCTCTTGTACCAGTGTGCCCTGGACGTGGGACATGAAGTCAAAGGAGAATATTCTGGAACTTTAGGATTTAATGACTGCCCCACTGGGATTCAAACTTGCATGAGGCCTGTAGCTCCTTTCTTTTGGTAGATTACTCCTTTTTAGGATACTGATGTCTATCCAATACCTATATCCCCATTGTATCTTGGAAGTAAATAGCTTGTTTTATATTTTACAGGCTCATAGGAAGAAGAGACTCACCTTGTCTCAGATGAGATTTGGGACTTTGGATTTTTGAATTCACGTTGGAATAAGTTAAGACTTTAGGGGACTAATGGGAAGGCATGATTGTGTTTTGAATGTGAGAAGGACATGAGACTTCGGGGGGGCAGGAGTGGAATGATGTACTTTGGATATTTGTTCCATCAAAATCTGCCATTGAAATTGAACCTGGTGGGAAGTGATTGGATCATGGAGGTGGAGTTCCCATAAATGGAGTAAGTTCTCACAAGAGTTGGTCATTTAAAAGTGTATGGCACCTCCCCGCCATTAGTCTCTTGTTCCCATTCTCGCCATGTGATGTGACTGTTCCACCTTCATCTTCCACCATCATGATAAGTTTCCTGTAGCCTCCCAAGAAGCTGAGCAGATGATAGCACCATGCTTCCTGTAAAGCCTGCAGAACCATAAGTCTAATTTTTTTTATAAGTTATCCAGTCTCAGATATGTATGTATATATGTATGTATTTATTTATTTTTATTTTTTTTTCTAGACAGAGTCTCGCTCTGTCACCCAGGCTGGAGCGCAGTGATGCAATCTCAGCTCTCTGCAACCTCTGCTTCCTGGATTCAAGTGATCCTCCTACCTCAGCCTCCTAAGTAGCTGGGGTTACAGGCATACAGCACCACACCAACTAATTTTTGTATTATTTGTAGAGGCGGGTTTTTGCCATGTTGCCAAGGCTGGTCTCAAACCTCTGAGCTCAAGTGATCTCACCACCTTGGCCTCCCAAAATGCTGGGATTATAGATGTTAGCCACCATGCTCAGCCCAGTATTTCTTTATAGCAATGCAAGAACATTTTAACACAGTACAAAAAATTTAGAGATTTTTGTGGGTGCTAAATTTTGGCTTCTAAGTGAATACTTCACATAGGCAGACAGTGAAGTTTATAGCCCAAGAGAGAAAAGTCAAGAGTAACATCTACATTCGTGAGATGTGATCTACAGAGATATCTTTAAAGCTATTCACGTTTATGTTACTTTGTAGAAAGAAAGCATAGATGATGAAGGATAGTTAAAACCAAGCCCAGCAAACAGTCCTTCAATATAAGTTTTACCTCGTAAGGAAAAAATAGATTTACCACTATGCAACATATCCAAGTAACAAAATTACACTTGTACACCTTAAATTTATAAAGATTAAAAAAAAAAGACCAGAGTGATAATAGTCATTGACATAGAATAAAAATATGGTGTGACAAAATATTTTGTTTTGTTTTCTCAGAGTGACTGTACTAAAACGTACAAAGAGGAAAAAAATGCCATTTGCATACAGAAAAAAGTGACATTTTCTATTAAATGTAAAATTTTAAAGTTTGTCATAATACTCCTTAAGTAAAAGTATTAACCCTCTAAAAGATTGATTGCTGTCCATTCTTCTTTGTACCTTCACATGCTTATTTCATCATTCATTTCTCAGTAATGTTCTATTCAAAGAAGAATAAATAGTAATCAAACAATAGTTTTCATTAAAATAAATTTTATAAAGGCAAATGTATGTAATTGTTTTCCAATGTGATAGGAAAACTATTATTCAATTTTTAGATCGCAATATAGTGTAAAATTTTCAAACAGTTGAAAATTGTACTTAATTTGTAAGGACTCAGAAACTGCAATGTGTTAGATAAGTGTCAATATCATATATATTTGTAATATATTGATAGAATTAAATTGTATTACAGTTTATACAATATGAAATATAATAAAATAAATATGTTTATACATGTATATGTGTATCCATGTTTACACAGTATGAAATACTATAATAAAATAAATATGTGTATACACATGCAAACACTAGCAGACTGTCTTCACATGGGCTTTCTGGCCACAATCCAAACATTTAGATAAAAATATGCTGCTTCTTTGTTCACTGACTTTCCTGTCTTTTCGTGTTGCTGATGATCTGCATTTTTCTACTTTCCTATTCCCTTCAGGATCCATCTAATGTATGAATAGGGATAGTGGTGGTAAATCCAACCAATTATTCTCTGTTAATTCATTAGCCAGATAATGTGTTACCTCTCCAAGGGAATGTAATGCCTAACTCTCTGTATACATCCCCTATAAAGTGTCTACAGAGAAAAACACTAATGGTGGGAATTTTAAAAGATTCAACTAGGAGTTAATTTATTCAAAGGGGATTTTCTTAGAATCCTTCAAATCACATTAATAGAGTAGCTGCCTGCCCTAATTATGCATAAATCAATGCCACATTCTAGAAGTTACTCAAGGAATGGGCACATATTTAGTATGTTGACTTCTAAAAAGGGCAGCAAACAAAATACTTTTTGTCATTATTAGTGAAGATGTTTATTATCACCAAAGTTTTAATAAAACTGGATTTAAATTTAATTGTTATAGAAGATTTGTAAGTATAATCTCTTTTTATAATCATGCATAACGATCTATGCATAATGTTTTATGTGGCAAATATGAAATGTAAAATAAAATCATCCCTAATTGATTTCTGATAAATAGGTAATCTATTACCAACCTCAGGCTCATAAAACTTGTCTGTAGTAATTACTACTTGTGAAGAATGAATGGACACAAGGAGGATGATTAAATTAATTTTATTACTTTACTGTATGTATTGTCTAATTTCAGAGTTTCTTCCAATATCAAAACTTCAATAATCATCTATCTCTATGCAAATTATCTTTCATCTGAGCTTGGGGCATTTTTTTTTAATTGTGACTAGGCAATCTCTTAATACTGCTAATAAGAAATTTATACACAATATGGATACAACTTATAACATTATGTTCATTAAAAAAAATATTTTTCTCTTTTGATTTGTTCATCTTAAAGTTTATTACTGCATTAATTGTTCATGTCCTATATGCAACCAGTTCATAAATCAGTTTGGCATTATGGTTTCAGTACATTTTTCCTCTCTATCCCATTCCAATCACCATTATGCTGTGTATTTGTTGGGTTATGTTCCCTGCTAGTGTGACTTCTCAATAATAGCCACCCTCCAGACTATACATTGTGACAAAGTTAAATATGAGTTCTTAAATCAATACTTCTCAAATCTAAAAATAGGAGTAAATATGGAAGTCTTGATTAAAGGTAAATGTAATAGTTCAGTACTATGAGGAAATGAGAGTGTTTTCTATAAACGGTGTTGAGACAATTGCAAATCCATGTGGAAAAAATATATATCTTAGCCACTACTTCATACTATGTACAAAAAAGAAATTCTAGATTTGCAGATCTAGATGTAAAAAGGAAACAATAATTAAATAGGAAAATAGAATATTTTTGTGATGTAAGCAAACTGTTCTTAAACTGAAAACAGAAGTGCTAATTTTAAGAGAAAAATAATTTATAAATTAGACTGAATTAAGGCTAAACTCTTATTTATCAAAAGACATACTAAAAGGTAAAAGGCAAGGAACATCATAAGAGACGACTACACAATACTTAACTACAACCTTGTATATCCAGAATATATAAACAATTTCAACAGATGAATGGAAAAGAAGACAGAAAATCAAATACGGATATGGGCAAAAGTAAAAAGAATTAATGGAGTTATAAGGAGAAGGCAAATTCAAAACACAGTGATATACTACTACATACTCATCATAATGGTAAAAATGGCAAAGAAAGAAAATGCCAAGTTTGGTGAGGATGTAGAATTCTCACGGTGGTGATAACATATATTGATATAATTACATTGGGAAGCTCTTTGGCTTTATCTACCAAAACAGGATATATGAATCAGAAATTCTGCATCAAAGTATATATCCAACAGAAAAACATAAGTTTACCATAGGACATATACTAGAATCTTCATAGCAGTATTATTCATAGTAGCTAAAAAATTGCAAAATGCCCAAATGCCTAACAGTAAAATAGACATATATATTTTTCACAATGGAATACTATATGATAATCAAAATAAACAATTTATTACTGCATGTATAATATGTATAAATATCCATATATCAAATTAACCACAGTAAACTAGACACAAAAGAGAAAATTAGCATGATTTCATCTATGTAAAAAATAAAATCTATAATACATACAATGAAATATTATTCAGCCACAAAAGCAAATAAATTTCTGATACACACGACAGCATGAAAAATCTTGAAAGCATCATGCAAAGTGAAATAATCCAGACACCAAAAAATAAATACTGTACAAGTCCAACTATACGCAATATCTATAATATGCAAATTTGTAGAGTCAGACAGTAGATTAAAGGTTATCACAATTTAGGAGAAGGCAGAGTTATAGCTTAATAGATACAGAGTTTCTATTTGGAATAATGAAATTTTGAAAGTAAATATGCACAACACAATGAATGTAATTAATGCTGTTAAATTATACACTTAAAATAATTAAAATGGAAAATGTCATGTTGTATGTATTTTACCATAATAAAAATTTTTTAAAAATCAAGCAAGTGTACCGAGATTTAACTATCAAAATGTTCATAACAAATAGCAGAGAAAAAAATTATAACAGTCTAAACTGTCAGCAATTGGAGGTAGGTTAAATACATTTTAGCACAAACACTCAATGAAAGATTACGAGACCATTCAAAATCATATAGGAAAGAATATTTAATGGCAAGAAATATATTCACATATACTATAAAACTAAATATACATCATGCAATCACTGTTTTGTTTTAAAAATTATATGTGTATGATTAGAAAAGAAGCATCTATACCAAAATTTGTCTCTGGGCAGTGACATTTTTTCTTCTTTTTTAACCTTTATTCTTTCAATTTTTGATGTCACAAATATGTATTACAAATAGACAAATAACACAAGTTTTAGTTTCATATGAGCAAAGAAACAAAACATATTCTTAGAAATTCAGAACTTGGTAGTGATTGGATGACAGCATCAGAAGTCTTCTGGAATATCACAGAAGTACTCTGTGTTGTTTCATTTCTTGACGTGGGTACTGGTCACAAAAGAATGTTTAGATTTTGAATCATACCCTTTATAATATTTATATTGTCCAATATGCATATGAGGCTTTAAGAATTTTTAAATACATTTTGAGAGCACTCCTTGCTAATTTAATTGGGGATAATCATATACCTTATATGGTTTCAATTGCATTTTAGGTTTATTCATTAGATATTTTATAGTCAGTCTCATCATTTTTCAAATGCAATGTTCTCTTAAGAAAGCTTTGTTCAATTTCCAAATGGAAAGTTCTCTATAATACTGTGGGGAACTCATTATGCTTCATTTTCCTAATTTACATATTTAATGTAAATAGGGTTGATATATAATGGACAGCAACTATATCAAGCATGGGACACAAAAGTTGAACAATTTGCTTCAACATAGTCTTTAATGGACCCTCTCAGAAAAAAAAAAAAAGTGGAGCTTATAGTTCAAAAGCCAAAAGAGATGAAAATTCAGATTAGTGTAAAGAAAGCAAATCCTGGTATGTTGAAAGAGACTACTGAGGTTAAGGGTGTTGGTGCATTAGCAAGAAAGATTTTTTTTGTTTTAGTCACTTCAGCTATGTTTTGAAGATTCATAATTTTTTGACATGAAAAGAATGTCATGAGAGTGGGGACATGAAGGTAAAGATATTTCATATGGTCAAGCGTGACAAAAATGGAAATGAACTGGAGGTGGTTATGACTGGCAGTTCAAGGCAGAGGCAGAAAAACATTTGTAGATCTCATTAAGGAGTTTAAATTGTATGGGAAGACCTGTGAAGTTTTTAAAAGACTAATTATATATGTGGTAAAATACTTAAAATATGTCTCAGAATGCTGCATGGAGAATAGATTTAATTTCAGAATCATAGAGAATAATTCAGAAAATATGACAGTTGTGTAGCCAACAGCAATTGCTGTTATTGACTTTGGCAGTCCGGGTTGAGAGAAATATTTACGTTCTCAATGTGTTCTCGAATATATGTTTACTGAGATATGTTTGAGGAGACAGAATGAATGGAAATCAGTGACAAAATCATGGTTGAATAAATTCATGGCCTGAAAAAATATGGCTGATAAGGGAAGACTAAGAAAGGAACGAGTGTGGCAATCAACAATTTAATTACCAAACAGTTATAGTCATACCCATTATAGGCCTACCTCAACGATTTCAGACTTTTTGTCAGACATCTAACAGGAGATTTTAAATATAAAGTTAAATATATACGTAGGGTATAAAGAAAAAAATGATTGGGGTTAGAGACGCATGTTTGAACTTATCCACAATATTAAAGATATTATACAAAAATATACCAAAAGATATTGGAGATAATATCTAGATGAGATAATATCTAGATGAGATAATATACAAAAAGATATTGGAGAAGGATAAGCAAAGAGTTTAGAATTGGAGCCAAAAGCCAACAACAATTTTTAAAACTCAAAACAAAAATTAAAAACAAAACAAGTAGAAAAATAAAACATTCAGGGGTCAAGTAGAGATAGAAGAACAAGAAAGAAGATAAGCGGCTAGAGAGGTAAGAAGCAGTGAAGAGGATGAAACTGAAAAAACATGGTGGCCTGAGAAAAAGCTAAAGGTCTTCTACTCTGAATTATTTTGAGAGAAGGTTAAGTCAAAGGACTAAGTAGAAGTAAAACAGACAACTTCTTCTGCTGCCTTTATGGATGATAAGAGTACACATAAGATCCCAGAGTCAGGAAACCCAAATTTGCCTTCTAAAGCAAACAAAATACATGGCCACACTGTTTAATTATAGTTTCTTAATCAATGCAACTTGGAGACTTCCATCTTTGTTAGATTTCACAAACCAATTGTACTCTGACTTGCAATGTTGATGTCTAAAGGTCTGTAACAACCATGAGATATGATAATCATGTAAATTTTTTTTTCTTCATGATCAGCTTCCTTGTAAACCTGGTTAATTCTGGCAATCTTGTGATTATCATTTTAAATAAAAGCTTTTTTTTTTTTTAAATTTGGTTGGGACCATCTTGCTCCCTTTTCAACCTTTCTTTGCAAGTAAATCTTTCTCTAAAGCTATCTCAACAATAATTTTTCCTCTTAGCCAATTCTGCAGATTCTTCCAAAATGCATCAGAGCTGATTAAACTGTTTTTAAACATGGCCCCTCAAAGGTTGATTGCCCCAGGGCTATGTTCTTCAGATAATGAAATGAATCTTGTATAATAATGAAACTTTTACACTCATGGACTGGATTGCGCACTATTCCAGTGTGACCCCTGAAACTAACCACTCTATTCTAATGTTAATATTTATACTCAAGAGGCATCGAGCTAGTATTTGCACTGATTGCAAAACTATTTCTTAGTGAATTAAATTACACAGTACAATTTTGCAGAAATTCCTTTGGCTGACTTTAAGATATTTCAAAATGTAATTATTTGTGAAATTGAAAGATTTCATATTTATTGATATAAACTCTTTTATTTGTATTAAATAAACATTTCATTAAATGTGCTGACAAATATATATAAGGGCAATCTGCTTTATATGTTTTTATTTATTTTAGTGATGATGCTTTGTTCTGTTTACTTAAGAATATTATGGTATTTTCTTTTATAAAATTACTACTTGTTCTATTTCTTATTTATTTAAAAGATTGAGATTTAATATTAATATTCAAAGACATATAGAAACTGTGAGGCAATATTTTTCATTCTGCCTTACAAAAATATATATTTTTTTGTTTTAAAGATATGAATAATAAAAAATAGTCTAAAATCTCTATGGAAAGAAATGAATATATTGAAAATAATAGTCTTAAAATTAAATACATATTTTCTCACTACCTTGAACACATTGTGAGATTGGAAATCTTTTATTCACTTCCAATCATAGAAACATTATGCTTTCTGTTTTCATTTACTGCCATTTCCTTTCACTTTTCAAAGCATTTTCTGAAAGTAGCCTTTTTCCATCTCTCTTTTTTCTAAATAGCAGATTAAGTCGCCCTAAATAGAAAGAGTGCCAATTACCCACCATTATCAGTACTCTAAAACCTTAGGCCTCTTAAATAAAATGTATTTGGCTATGATTTTGCTGATCATAGTGATTAAATCTGGGCTGTTTAGAAATGAGTAAATAAATAAAGCTTAATCGTTAATCATCAAAGTCTTATAGGGGAAAAAAAGCAATAGAATGGAGTGAAAACTCTTAAAAACAGTTTGAAAAGAATGTAGTGTTATCATATGAACTGAAAAATGTCCTTAATTTTCAGGTATGATTTACATAGGAATCTAATCTTGCTTACTGAAATTTGGCAATATTAGATTATGAGATATAGTAGGTAATTTTCCTCTTTGTAATTAACATAAAATGAAATGACATAATTTCTATCATTAAAACATCTCGATTTCACTGGTAATAAAGCTTTAATTGTATAATAATAATATTATCAATGTTAAAGTATTCAAATGGAGGCAGGTCTCTGTGGGAGAGAAAGACAAAGCATAGAACATTACTTTCTTTTTTAAAATGACCTCTTAATGTAGAAAATTTATTTTCTCATTTATTTATGGATCTGTGCACCTATTTTCAGAAAGTGCAGTTTGTTTCTGTGTGAATGTTAGCACAGACAATGCCAAGTTTATATTAAGTCCTCCAAAAGGGTAGAAACACAAATATGAAGTATAATTTTTTATCTAAGATCACCTGTATTACAAATTTAGTTTGGCTTCCAGTTAATTAATTTCTCAAATCTCTCCTACATGCAGTTAGCACTTCATGGCTACATATATTTCTACATACAAGTGCAAAATGATGAAAAACATTGAGACCATGAAAACACAAGAAGCAGCCACAAAAGCCTCAGCTCTTTCTACTTTCAGGTAGATGGATTATGAGCTATAATATGTCATTTGAAATATCCTCCGGTGATTTGTTAGGACCATCATGACTCGTAACTACCAGGAAGTTTAATGTTTCAATTTCCTGCAGTTTAACACCACCTTAAAGTTGTCACATATCAAATGGTTCACCTGATGCAATGAGTTACTGGCATACAGAACCTACATTGTGAGTTCAACTGCCAGTCTTTTATTTAAAGCTGGTGGCTTCTTTTTCCTTTTGAGCCTTGAACACCATAGATGCAATTAGTCTGAATATTTAATAGTTAATTTATTTCTACCTGTTTTACCAGAAATATGTGTCTAACTGTTGCAGTATAGCTATGCATCTATTAAAAATCCCACCAATTGTAAATAGCTATCAGTGGTGGGTGGTGACAAGCATATGATAGTATTGTCCAATCAAAAAAATTAGGAAAACAAGAATTCATATGTGAACTCTGTGTATATTTATTAGGGAATCAAATTTCACTGCCTGATGGGTCTGGCTACAGAATCCTGCTTCTGTCCAAAACTATATTGTGTGAATGTGTGGGATATGAAATAAGTGATGGATGTGAAGATGCAGCTGTTAGATTCTAGCTCCCATTTAAAAATTGTTGAAAAACTTCATTTACTGATTAGAGCAACTCATAGTACTAGTGAGTTAACCAATACTAGGGATAAATATTAATTTAAATATGTTTAAATATGATTTAATTAACGATTATAAATTAAATATTCAATTAAATAACTAACTTAACCACAATAATTGTTATGCCTTTCCTATACATCAGGCATTAAGAATTATCTCATTTAATTCTTTCTGTAATTCTATAGTATAATTTTATTATTGTTAGCCTTTTATAGATGAGGAAAATGAGCCCTGAAGAAATTATGTAGTATACCATTGGTTTCATATATAGCAAATTTCAATTTCAGAATTCTGGTTACACTATATTACCTCTACAACAGATAGACTCTACTGTCAATGTTTCTAAGAATACTAAAGACAGAAGGATATTTATCTATTTATTAATTACAAGACAAATTTCTATGTGACATATATTTAAAAAAACTTCATGTGATGTAATTGTAAATAGCTTATATTTAAATATTAAATAGTTTGAATTATAAAAATAATTGAATTAAATTTTAAATTAAATATTTAATTTGCTATAGAAATTTAACATGCCCTTAATATCCACCAGGCAGTACATAGCTTAAAAACATTTATCTCATTTACATATATTATTACATTTGAATAAAACTCAGTAATAGGTTATCACATAAAAAAGTTTTGTTTTAAAAAGAATGAAGTTGTAAAATACATTTTTCCATTTTCTTCTGCTAAAACAGAATACCACAGGCTGGGTAATTTATAAACAGTAAAAGTTTATTTGACTCACAGCTCTAGAGACTGGGAAGCAAAATATCAAGGTGCCAGCATCTGGTGAAGACATTTGTGTTGCATTATTCCATGGTGGAAGGCAGTAGGTCAAGGAAGAGCATGCAACTGAGAGAGAAATTTAGCCAAACTCTTTTTCTTTTTAAATCAAGAGCGCACCCTCATGATAACTAGCCTGCTCCTGTAATAACTTCATGAATCTATTTATGTATAAGTCCTCTGCCATCATAATCTATTAAAGGCACCACATACCAATAGCATCAAAATGTCAATTAAATTTAATTATAAGGGTACAATGAAACCCTGGCATACAGACAGTATACCTGAATATGTATAGAAGAACATAAAGTAAGGGCCACAAAGAAATGCATCAAATCTAGCCCGGTTTTGAAGGATGAAAGTACTTTCATGGCTATTTATAGTTTCCCCCATAATGATCAGACATCATAAATATTGCAGAATAATAAAATGTTATATCACTTAAGAAATGTTGGAATGTATACTAAGAATTTTTGATGTATTATCTTGTTTAGTTTATTCATAAACCTCTTCAAAAAAAAGTAAATATTAGTTTCAGTTACTAATAAAATTTATCTCAGATGGTTTGTCACCTGGCCAATATTCCACAGCAATTAAGTGGAAAACACAAGATTGTAACCAAATCCGATTACAGAGCCAACATTTTAAAATGCTGGATATTCCAGGGTGTTACTTGAAGGCATAATAACTTTAACTCATATTATGGAAAAGAAAAGCAGAAAAATGCATGCAAACTCAGAGAACTAATCAACCATATGGAATATAAACAATTATAATTACTTGAGTCATTATGTGCCAAACACTCTTCTAAACAATTTTATGTCTGTAGATTCATTAAATTTACCCAGCACTCTTATAAAACAGATATTGCTGTTGTTATTATTATTATTGTTGACATTTTAATGATCATGAGAAACAAGCATGGGGTAGTTTAAACCTTGACAAAGATCACGAACCTAGCACTTGCTTAAGTCTGAATTTGCAATTTGTAAAGGTAGCGCCAGTGCTTGTGCCTTGGACACTATACCTTATTGCATTTCTCTGCTTGCCAATCAAACAACTATTTCCTCATCTTTTGGTAATAGTCCCTACAGGTCTTTAGAGAGGTTAGTCTTATGCCATTCAACTTTATCCTGATTGACTGTCTTAAAACAGCTCTCTGCCTCAATAAAGACTTGGGTACATAGTTATGTATATTCAGATATAATATCTCCAAAATAATCTATTGCCAAGTTTTATTACTATATATATATAAAACAGCCATATATTATTTACAATTAAATCACATGACTCAACTTGATTCAACGTGTGTCTCTGTCTATCCTAGAAATCCTGAGTTGAACTGAATATCTGCGGGAGACAGTTGAAGATGAGTCACTCTGACCTCTGTACCTAAAAATGTAGACATTAAGTCCTTACCCATGCAGAATGTCCTTCCTGAAATCTGATATAATAAAATTTATCTTTATTTTCTACTCTATGGCATTCCAATATTTTATTTTCTTCTCAGGAAAATACATTTTCTGTTACTTGAATTCAAATCATTCCAAATGATATGACATACCATAGGCACAATCTTATTATTTTCACTTAAATTTTCCTCAAATTCCTTTAATTGGTACTTATCAAGCACTTATTACAGGCAAAGCTATGAAATAGGAACTAAATTAAAATTAACAAATTGAGAGTAAGACATGAGATTAACACGAGAGTAGTTTCTAATGGAAGAGCCTGCGTTTAGCTAACAACCGCAAATTAATTATGTCAAACAATTACTAAGCCCTTATTTTGTGCCAGTTCCATATTAGCATATACTTTTGTGATGAAGCAATTTAGTTCTAGAACAGATGTTTTGTGTTAAGGGATAATCTGGAAATAAATGACTGTAAACTTAACTTGTTCAAATATGGATCTAACATGCTTTCAGTTCAAAGTTACATTATTTCAAGAGGTATTCCTTGTATATCTATTGCATATTCCATAATTTTAAATGTAGTTTAGATTAAAATCACAGAAGTCCTTGCAGTATATTATGAGCTTAATTCACATTGGAAAAAACGTATCTATTCTATAGTAGTATACAATGCATACCTCACCAAAATGTAGAAATCACTTGTCTGTTAATATCTTTACTCTATAATTTCATACATTTTAAATTTGTTATTTAACAAGGTAAAGCTAAAGGGAAGTGAGTTCAACTTGTAGCAATGGGACAGAACTTGACTGGTAAAAACTAAAAATGGGATCCAATTTTATAGTTTGGTTTTATTTTATGTACTTATGTATTTATAGTTCAATTGATTTGGGGGGAACAGGAAGGTGTTCGGTTACATGAATAAGTTCTTTAGTGGTGATTTCTGAGGTTTTGGTGCACCCATCACCCTGTACCCAATGTGTAATCCTTTATTCCTCGCCACCCACCACCCTTTCCTCCAAATCCCTCATGTCCAACCTATCATTCTTATGCCTTTGCGTCTTCATAGTTTAGCCCCCACATGTGAGTGAGAACATAAGTTTGGTTTCCCATTCCTGCATTACCTCGCTTAGAGTAACAGTCCCCAATTCCATCCAGGTTGCTGGGAATGCCATTATTTTGTTCCTTTTTTATGGATGAGTAGTATTCCATGGTATATATATACCACATTTTCTTTATTCATCCATTGATTGATGGGAATTTGGGCTGGTTCCATATTTTTGCAATTGCAAATTGTGCTGCTATAAACATGCATATGCAAGTATCTTCTTTGTATAATGACTCCTTTACCTCTGGGTAGATACCTGGTAGTGGGATTGCTGGATCAAATGGTAGATCTACTTTTAGTACTTTAAGGAATCTCCACACTGTTTTCCATAGTGGTTGTACTAGTTTACATTTCCACCAACAGTTTAAAAGTGTTCCCATTTCACTGCATCCACACCAACATTTATTATTTTCCCGATTTTTTGATTATGGCCATTCTTACAGGAGTGGGGTAATAGAGCATTGTGGTTTTGATTTGCATATCCCTGATAACTAGTGATGTTGAGCATTTTTCCATATGTTTATTGGCAATTTATATATCTTCTTTTGAGAATTGTCTATTCATGTCCTTAGCCTACTTTTCGATGGGATTGTTTATTTTTTTCTTGCTGATTTATTTGACTTCTTTGTAGATTCTAGATGTTAGTCCTTTGTTGGATGTATAGGTTGTAAATATTTTTCTCCCACTCTATGGGTTGTCTGTTAACTCTGCTGATTATTTTTATTTGCTGTGCAGAAGTTTTTTAGTTTAATTAAGTTCCATCTTTATCTTTGCTTTTGTTGCATTTGCTTTTGGGTTCTTGGCCATGAAGACTACCTATGCCAATTTCTAGAAGGGTTTTTTGTTTTTTTTTTCCCAATGTTAGCTTCTAGAATCTTTATGATTTCAGATCTTAGATTTAAGTCTTTGATTCATGTTGGGTTGACTTTTGTATAAGGTGATAAATGAGGATCCAGTTTCATTCTTCTACATGTGGCTTGCCAACTATCCAAGCACCATTCATTGAATAGGGTGTCATTTCCCCACTTTATGTTTTTGTTTGTTTTGTTGAAGATCAGCTGGCTTTAAGTGATTGGCTTTGTTTTTGCGTTCTCTATTCCATTCCACTGGTCTATGTGCCTATTTTTATACCAGTACCATGCTGTTTTGGTGACTATGGCCTTATAATACAGTTTGAAGTCAGGTAATGTGATGCCACCAGATTTGCTCTTTTTCTTAGTCTTGTTTTGGCTATGTGGGCCCTTTTTTGGTTCCTTACAAATTTTAAGATTTTTTTTCTAGTTTTATGAAGAATGATGGTGGTATTTTGATGGGAATTGAATTGAATTTGTAGATAGCTTTTGGCAGTATGGTCATTTTTACAATATTGATTCGACTCATCCATGAACATGGCAAGTGTTTCTGTATGTTTGTGTCATCTATGATTTCTTTGAGCAGTGTTTTATAGTTTTCCTTGTAGAGATCTTTTACCTCCTTGGTTAGGTATATTTCTCTTTTATTTTTGAGATGAAGTTTTGCTCTTGTTGCCCAGGCTGGAATGCAATGGTGCGATCTCGGCTCACTGCAACCTCCATCTCCTGGGTTCAAGTGATTCTCCTGGCTCAGCCTAGTGAGTAGCTGGGATTACAGGCATGCACCACTATGCCCAGCTAATTTTGTATTTTTGGTAGAGACGGGGTTTCTCCATGTTGGTCAGGCTGGTCTCGAACTCCCAACCTTAGGTGATCTGCACACCTCAGCCTCCCAAAGTGCTGGGATTACAGACGAGAGCCACCGCACCCAGCCTGGTTAGGTATATTTCTGTTTTTTGTTTTTTTTTTTGTTGTTGTTGTTGTTGTTGTTTTTCGCAGCTATTGTGAAAGGGGTTGAGTTCTTCATTTCTTTCTCAGCTAGGTCACTGTTGGTATATAGCAGAGCTACAGATTACAGATTTGTGTACATTAATTTCATATCCTGAAACTTTGCTGAATTCATTTGCCAGTTCTAGGAACTTTTTGAATGAGTCTTTAGGGTTTTCTATGTATACAAACATCATTAGCAAACAGCAACAATTTGATCAGTTTGATTTCCTTGTTACTGATTTGGATGCCCTTTATTTCTTTCTCTTGTTTGATTGTCCAGTACTATGTTGAATAGAAATGGTAAATGTAGGCATCCCTGTCTTGTTCCAGTTCTCAGAGGGAACGCTTTCAACTTTTCCCCACTCAGTATTATGTTGGCTGTGAGTTTGTCATAGATGGCTTTTATTACATTGAGATACATCGCTTGTATGCTGATTTTGCTGAGGGTTTTAATCCTAAATGGATGCTGTACTTTGTCAATCACTTTTTCTGTGTCTATTGAGATGATCGTGTGATTTTTGTTCTTATTTCTGTTTATGTGATGTATCACATTTATTGACTTACATAGGTAAAACCATCCCTGCATCTCTGGTATGCAACCCACTTGATCATGGTGGATTATCTTTTTGATGTGCTATTGGATTCAGTTCACTAGCATTTTGTTGAGGATTTTTGCATCTATGTTCATTAGGAATATTGGTCTGTAGTTTTCTTTTTTTGTTATGTCCTTCCCTGGGTTTGGTATTAGGGTTGTACTGGCTTCTTAGAATGATTTAGGGAGGATTAACTTTCTGTCTATCTTTTGGATTAGTGTCAATAGGATTGGTACCAATTCTTCTTTGAATGTCCAATCAAATTTAGGTGTAAATCCATCCTGTCCTGGACTCTTTTTGTTGTCATTTTTAAAAATTACTATTTCAATCTCACTGCTTGTTTTTGTTCTGTTCAGAGATTCTGTATCTTCCTGGTTTAATCTAAGAGGGTTGTATATTTCCAGGAATTTATCCAACTCCTCTAGGTTTTCTAGTTTACCTGTGTAAAGATGTTCATAGTAGCCTTGAATAATCTTTTATATTTCTGTGGTATTGGTTGTAGTATCCTATTTTGTTTTCAATTGATCTTATTTGAATCATCTCTCTACTTTTCTTGGTTAATCTCACTAATGGTGTATCAATTTTATTTATCTTTTCAAAAAATCAGCTGTTTGTTTCATTTATCTTCTGAATTTTTGGACTGTTTGTTTCAATTTCATTTAGTCTGCTCTGATCTTTGTTATTTCTTTTCTTCTGCTGGATTTGGGTTTCGATTGTTCTATTTAACTCCAGTTCCTTGAGGTATAACCTTAGATTTTCTATTTGTGCTCTTTCAGACTTTTTGATGTAAGCATTTAATGTAATGAACTTTCCTCTTGCACCACTTTTCCTGTATCACAGAGGTTTTGATAGGTGGTGTCACTATTATCATTCAGTTCAAAGAATTTTTTGATTTCCATCTGGATTTCATTGTTGACCCAACAATCCTTCAGGACCAGGGTATTTTATTTCCATGTATTTTCATGGTTTTGAGGGTTCTTTTTAGAGTTGATTTCCAGTTTCATTCCACTGTGGTCTGAGAGAGTACCTGATATAATTTCAATTTCTTAAATTTACTGAAACTTGTTTTGTGGCCTATCATATGGTCTATCTTGGAGAATGTTCCATGTACTGATGAATAGAGTATATTTTCTGCAGTCATTGTGCAGAATGTTTTGTGAATATCTGTTAAGTCAATTTGTTTTAAGGTATAATTTAAGTCCATGGTTTCTTTGTTAACTTTCTGTCTTGATGACCTGTCTAGTGCTGTCAATGGAGGATTAAAGTCCCCCATCTATCTCATTTCTTAGGTCCAATAGTAATTATTTTATAAATTTAGGAGCTCTTGTGTTAGGTGCATATATATTTAGAATTCTGATATTTTCCTGTTGGACAAGTCCTAGTCCTTGTATCGTTACATAATGTCCCTATTTGTCTTTTGTAATTACTGTTGCTTTAAAGTTTGTTTTGTCCCATGTAAGAGTAGCTACTTCTGCTTGTTTTTGGTGTGCATTTGCATGGTATATCTTCTTCTACTCTCCTGAAAATAGCACATACTTGGTTGGTGAATGCTTATCCATCCTGCCATTCTGTATCTTTTAAGTTGAGCATTTAGCCTATTTACATTCAGTGTTAGTATTGAGATGTGAGGTGTCATTCTATTCATCATGTTCTTCGTTGCTTGAATACTCTCAGCATTTGTTTTCTGGAAAAGACTCTATCTTTCCTTCATTTATGAGCCTTAGCTTCGCTGGATACAAAATTCTTGGCTGATACTTGTTTTGTTGAGGAGGTTAAAAATAGGACCCCAACCCCTTCTACCTAGTAGGGTTTCTGCTGAGAAATCTGCTGTTAATCTGTCAGGTTATCTTTTATAGGTTACCTAATGCTTTTATCTCACAGCTCTTAAGAGTCTTTCCTTTGTCTTGACTTTAGATAACCTGAGGAGTATGTGCCTAAGTGATGATCTTTTTGCTATGAATTTTCCAGGTGTTCTTTGAGCTTTTAGTATTTGGATGTCTAGATCACTAGCAAAGCCGGGTAAGTTTTTCTTGATTATTCCCTCAAATATGTTTTCCAAACTTTTAGATTTCTCTTCTTCCTCAGGAACACCAATTATTCTTACTTTTGGACATTAACATAGTCCCAAACTTCTTGGACACATCTTTTATTTTTAAAAATTCTTTTTTCTTTGTCTTTGATGGATTGGGTTAATTCAAAAGCCTTGCCTGTGAGCTCTGAAGTTCTTTCTTCTGCTTGTTTGATTCTATTGCCGACACTTTCCAGTGCATTTTGCATTTCTCTAAGTGTGTCCTTGATTCCTAGAAGTTGTGATTTTTTAAATTTATTTCACTGAAAATTTTTCCTTTCATATCGTGTATCATGTTTTTGATTTCTTTAAATTGGACTTCACCTTTCTCTGGTGCCTCCTTGACTAGCTTAATAATTGACTTTCTGAATTCTTTTTCTGGCAATTCAGAGTTTATTTTCTTGGTTTAGATACATTGCTGGTGAGCTGGTATGATCTTTTGGGGGTGTTAAAGAACCTTGTTTTATCATATTACCGGAATTGTTTTTCTGGTTCCTTCTCATTTGGGCAGAATATGTCAGAGGGAAGATCTGGGATTCAAGGGCTGCCATTCAGATTCTTTTGTGCCACAGGGTGCTCCTTTGTTGTGGTGTTCTCCCTGTTCCCATAGAAATGGGGCTTTCTGAGAGCTGAACTGGGTAGTAATTGTTTTTGCTCTTCTGGGTCTAGCCACTCAGGGTCCCGGCTGGTACTGGGGAGTGTCTGCAAAGAGTCCTGTGATGCAATCAGTCTTCAGATCTTGCAGCCGTGAATACCAGCACCTGCTTCAGTGGAGGTAGCAGGGGAGTGAAGTGGACTCTGTGAGGGTCCACAGTTGTGTTTTTGTTTAGTGGGCTGGTTTTGTGTTAGTTGGCCTCCAGCCAGGAGGTGGACTTTTAAGAGTCCATCAGCTGTGGTCCTATAGGGAGGATGCAAACTTGCCCTAGGGACACCTGGTTAAGTATTCAGGAATCTCAGATGGTGATCAGGGCTGTAGAGCTCCCAAGAGATAATGACCTTTGTCTTTGGCTACCAGCATAGGTAGAGAAAGACCTACCAGGTCGGGGGCACGGATAGGCATATCTGAGCTCAGCCTCTCCTTGGGAAGGGCTTCCTGTGGCTATTGTGGGGGATGGGGCGTGGTTCCCAGTTCAATGGAGTTATATTCCCAGGGGGATTATGGCTGCCTCTGCTGACTCATACAGGTCACCAGGGAGGTGGGGAAAAGCCAGGAGTCATTGGTTTCACTCTGCTCCTCTGCAGTCGGTAGTCCTAAAGGTCAATTTCACTCCCACTTGTGGTCCCCTAAGAGTACCATGTCTATTTCCAGGCAACTGCTGACTAGGGCAGAGAATTTGCCTCAGAACACAAACCTCGCCATTGAGAAAGCAAGCAGACTCAGGTTTTTGGCATCTCAGGTAGCCTGCATGGGTGATCCAGTTCCTTCAAAGAGTCTGTGGATTCTCTCACCTTTCCTAGTATGTTCCTGTGGTAGTTCTTGGAGCAAAGGACTCACAAAAATGTGAGTCTTCACGTGCTGCTCTGTCTGACCAAATGGGAGCTGCAGACTTTAGTCCTGTCTTCTATCCATCATCTTAATCTTCAGTATCCAATTTTAGACACTCCTTATGTTGTAGTTATCAGAGTGCTTCTATAGCGTGGAAGCCTTACAAATGCACTCTCCTGGACGGCAGAGAAGCCCAGAGATGTGAGGCAGACACTTGGAACCACTTTTTCGCCAAGGATTTGCTCTGAGGAGGGTGGAGATCTGAGAAGCTGAACAGTCATCTGTGGTTGAGAAGTAAGAAACTTACCAGCGTTTTGGACAATTGCACAGAGTTGATGAGAGGACATAAATTGGAATTTGAGGCTAACCTGGGAGAAGGATCCTGGATTCCACACCAAAATTTCAGTTGGGCCCCTGAGAGGATATGCCTTAGGTTAGGTGAAGAGAAAATATGCCGGCAATCACAGTAAGTGAAGCCAGTTTCAAAGCAAGTCAATGTCCATTTGTATTAAGGTTACCTGAACACTGTTTAATTGATTCTTGAAGCAAACATTTTTGGATGAAAAAACAATTTGAGTTTTAAGTTATCTTGCAATGTTTTATACATAATTTCTTGCTCTCATGCAAAAATAATCAGGCATGCAGCAACACAATAACAGCAGCAACAACAACAACACACACACACACACACACACACACACACAAACTGAAAGCAAACCAAAGAAAGAAAAGAAACAGAAATATCACAGTAAAACTGCCAAAAACAAAGACAAAGAGGAAAATTATAAAGGCAGCAAGAAAATAGAATTAGAGAAGCCCGAAAAAAGAATGTAACCTTCAAAAAACTTCCCCAAAGAAACAATAGAAGCCAGCAGACAATGGGCTGAAATCATTGAAGTGCCACCCTAGAACCCCAGAATTCAATACCTTGTGAAAATATCATTCATAAATGAAGATAATTGTTAATTTCTGAAAAACAAAAACTGGAAGAAATCAGCTGTGTAAGTCCCGATTAAAGAAAATGCTACAGGAAGATTTTTTTGGCACTGGAAAACAATCACAGATAGAAACATGGGGATAAAGAAAGCAGAGGGAAGAATGTGGCAGGCAAATTTGAAGGTGGATTAAATGAAATTGACTAAGGAAATAATTATATGTTGTAGAACTTTGTATATAATACTTATGCACAATTAAGTACATATTATATATATGCATGCACCTTAATTAAAGCACATATCTACAATAAAACTAAAGGCATGGGGAAATAACTGGAGACAGGTGTTCTAAGAATTCTGAGACCCCGATATTGTCTGAAATCTGGAAATATTCTGGGAAACACACTCTCACACTCTGTCTTATATTAGTCCTGTATTTTATTTTATCATTAATGAGTTAAGTGTATCTTATAAATTTTATATGAGTTGTCAACTAAAAGTAAAATAACTAGCAAATTATCCAAAAAGAAAACGGAAATTGATTAAAAAACATATAATACATCCAAAAAATGGAAGAAAGAATGAAAAAATTATAAAATAGAAAAGACTCTACTTAAACACACGTCAGTAATTAGGGTAATTATAAATGAATTAAACAACATATTTTTTAAAAGTTTGTCACACTGGTTTTAAAAAATATATATACTGCCTATTACTATCAAAACTCCATATAGTAAATATAAGGTAGGTAGAGTAGTATGAAAAAAATAAACACAATGAAAACATTTATCAAAATAGAATTTGCTTACCAATATACAGAGAAACTTTAACCTATGCTGGCATGTGATTTGCATTAAAAAAAAATAGCAATTATTTTTATTACATCTCGAGTTTGACCTCGAGATGTTATTGTCTGGGTTTATTTTTCATTCTCTACCCTTCACAATGTTTAATTTTTCTCCCACATTGCTTATTTCAGAATTTTCTCATTCCAGAATTATCTGATATTGATACTACCATTGATGTATTTATTAGAATTCTGCCATAAATTCTTCATAACAAACTCAAAATCTCAATGGCTTACAGAAAGTTTTTTTTTTCTTTTTTACTTATAGAAACATGGGCTTACATATTCCCCATGAGTTCCTCATTCTGGAATTAGCACTAGCCTTGGTTATGCTCTTTTCAAGGCAGATGGTAGAAGAAATGTAAGAGCTTCACAAGCACATTTTAAGCAGAAACTCATGGCATCTCCTAATATCCTATTATCGGCCACAAGAATAATTTGGTGAAGCCTTCATCAATGTGATATGCTGGATGGTCTGTGTTCTCTCCTGGAGGAACTGCAGTCACATGGCAAGTGTTGATGTATCATTTTATTACAAGAAGGGAGTGAAGAGATGGAACAATAATTTTATGTATTACATTTGGCAAATTTACCTTTACATTTGTTCAATTGTCACTTCCATAAGAAATCATGTACACAATCCCACAGTGTAGGCACAATACAGTAATATATTCCAGCAGTGTACCATTTTGTCCTAGGAGTTTTATTGTGTTTCTTGCCCATACATACACATTTGTTGAGAATAAGCTCTGTGTAGATGTATATGTATGTGCAATTTACATATAAGTTTATATAAATTACATAATTTTAAAATTAGTTCAATATGATTATAATGTGTTCATTAAATACTTGAAGAGGCTTGTCCAGAGATAACGCATTATCTCAATTGATTGTTCACAGTCACAGATCGAACTTCTGTTCTACTCTTTTCCTCCTTCTCATTATTGCACTTGACTAGTCTTAAAAAAATAAAAATAAAAAAATAAGTACTTGTTAAGGAAATAAAATTTTTGAGATGGAGTCTCACTCTGTCACCCAGGCTGGAGTGCAGTGGCATGATCTTGGCTCATTGTAACACCTACCTCCTGGGTTCAAGTGATTCTCCTGCCTCAGCCTCCCGGGTAGCTGGGATTACAGGCACCCGCCACCACGCTTGGCTAATTTCTTTTTTTCATATAAGAAAATGGTTTTATTCCTAATTTTTAGTTCCCATACAGTTTACAAATACACTTTTACTGTGATAATACAGCTTTGCAACTAGCAAAGCTGTTGCACTAACATTCATAAATATAGGTGGGGAGAAAATTAGCATTCACTAATATTTCTCTACATCAACTATTCTTTTAATGTCATTTTTTAAAAAACAGTTGCAAATAGACTACATAATATACTTGGGCAAAAAAGCAATTAAGTGAATTTCTTGAAACACTAAATGTATGATAAACAGCATATTATCAACATTTACATGAGTCACATCAAAATGATGACATCCTAAAACATATTCCTTTTAAAGGATAGATTTATCAATAAATATTACATATCTTTTAATACTCTGGTACAATACTTCATATATTGCAGGAAAATTAATTGTAGGTCTAGTCATCAGCTTAATCAGGGATCCTTTTCCCATTAGCTTTTATTAATAAAAGAATCACAATTAGGTCGTAAATAAACAGGCAAATTATTAATTACATGATTTGAGGCTTATGATGAAAGCTTGTCAAAATTAGTTTGATACACAGCAAAGTTATACGACACACTAAAACCAACTGTTCAATGGTTTTTGCCTTGTGTGAACTGCCCGTAGTGAAAAACAAACAAATTTTTAGTGATGAAAGATACTATAAACTATAGTTTGGAATGTTTCAAGAGGAAGAAGGAAAAAAGATTTCAACAAAATTAAGGGCAAATACAGATCCTAACAAAGGCATCCTGACATCAGGGAGGCCACGTGCTTGCTATATGTGAAACTTGAGTTCCCCAACAACATACAGAAAACAAAAGCTGCACTGGCTTTGTAGTTATGTCTGTAGTCTAAGTTTCCCTTATGGATACTAAGCTACAACAAAACACTTCAAAATTGCAAACCTTTCCACATCATCCTGAATTAAAAAAACTCAAGATGCTATTGGTTCTTAAAATCCCCAATAAAATAACCTCTAAAAATAATATTGACCATTTTCTTGGCTTCCCCAAAGCAAATGGGCTCTTTAAAGAATGCACACACACCAAGAAAGTCCTACCCATGTTTTCTCATCCCCAATTAGCCACATTTGAAAAGACCTTGATTTCAGTGGGAGAGATGACCATAAGTTTCAGAAGGGCCACACACTAGACACGAAGTGCCTTTTAGTTTTTCTTTTTTTTTTGAAAAAGTTACTAAGACTGTGAAATTTGGCTTTTTTTAACCCCAATACCATGTGCCAGATAAATCTTTCACCGCGAAATATAATATCCTATGCTTATAATTTTAAAATCCTCAGTGAGCTATGGAATATTGTGCATATTTAATACCTACCAGAAACCTAGAAGTAAATGGCATCCATGTGTCTGTCACACCGACTTTCCAAATAACCTGATTCACCCATTGCTGACTGCTCTGGCCCTGGGCTCTCTGACTTCCTCAGAAACCACCTCTTTGGAACTTGCATTTCCACAATTTTTTTTAAACTTGCACCTCGAGCTTTCTCCATCATCCCAGCCTCTCTGCCTGATTCCATCCCGTGTAAAGTAAACTCTTCTGAGAACTTGCGATCACCTTTTACCAAACACATGATAAGCCTTAGCAATCTAGGGTCTATGATAACTCTGGCCCTGGCCTAAGTTCACATAAGAACGTGATAGTTTGTTGACCTCATGGAGGGAAATCTAAATGAAATCAGTATCTTGTAACAAACAAAGCTAGCCAAGATCAGGTATTTCCATTCTGAGTATAAAAGCAACTGATCTTAAGCAACAGGCAGAGATGTTAATGCAGGAGATACATTTGCACAAACTCTTGTGTGCTGGTGAAAGACTTTACCCCCAAAGTCAAGTCAAGACAAAACCAAAGCAAAATGGAGAGTGAGTATATGTAACAATGCAATAAAAAGAACAGGATTCAAGCTTCTTGCTGCAAATACTGAACTGAAATCTTTTTCTTTACAAGTTTGACTAGAAGACAGCAGTCACAACATTTCCTTAATAAGGGAATACCTTCAGGCCACACCTGTGTTCTGAAGCAATTCAAAGTTCAATGAATATTGGGGGGCGGGGTAGGGGCTGATATGTATTTTGTCAGTGAGAATGGCAGCCAAACTACCTTAGAGTGTCAAGAGACTGAGAGACCTCAGAAAGCAACTACTACCAGGGCTGGATCTCGGCCTTCCTTTCAGGAGCCACAGTCAGAAGAATCCAAGGAGACCATAACTTCACGGCAAAGATGCCATAGCATTTTATTACCGTTACAAAAGACAACCAATGATGTTTTCATTGAAATATCTGCATTGAATGATGATTCAACATATGAGGCAAAGGGATGTCTTTGGAGAAGGGACTTAAGGTAGAATATTAGCAAATCTTACCAGTTGGCTAAAACAAAAATGAGCTTGTTCAACCTGGCTGGAGGCCTGTTAGGGCTGTTCCTTCTCACTGTGGCCTGACTGAAAACCAGTGGCATTAAGAAAGAGTCACATTTCCCAAGTCTGGGGGTGCCCCAGTGGGGTGGTGCTGCTCTCAAAAGCCCTGAGCCCCTAAACACATCCATCCTCACAAGATCAGTTTCCCCATGTGCTGTTTCCAAAAATAGGCTCAGGGTTGGCAGAAATCATTCAGGAAGCTTCTTGAAGGCCCTTTCTTCATTTCTCAGTCTGACTTTCAGCTTGTCCCAGCTACTGTAAGCAACTTCGGCTTCCCAAGTTCACTAGCAACTTCTACTTTTGCTAATATCCTTGGTTTTCCATGGCCAAGGTTGTGGTTGTGACCATCTGTTAGACTAGTGGCCCCCCAATTAGCTGTAACTCCATTTCACACCCTTTTCTTGAATCTGGGCTGGGCTTGTGACTTGTTTAGTAAGTAGAGGGCATACTCCAGCTCTCTTCTGATTAGAAAAAATCATCATCATCAATAGAGGGCAGTAAAAGGAACACTGTGACAATTCTGCACTTAAGTCTTCAGAAGGCCTGGCTACTGTGCTTTTGAGCTCTTGGGAGCTCTGAGCTGCATGTGAGAGGTCTAGGTACCCTGCCAGCCACCACTGGCTCCATGAAAGAGACTACATGGAGAAGGAGAGACTCAGGACTGCAGGCAGAGAGATAAGCCCAGCCATCCCAGTCTCTCCGCTGACCTGCTAACCACATGAGGGGCCACCTGCAGGCTGGCAGAAGAACAGCCCAGCTGAGCCCAGCTCAGATTGAAGAACAGTTGGGGGTGGTGATTTTTTAAGCCACTAAAGTTTTAGGGTAAGTTTGTCAGCAATACTTGACAACCAAAAACACTGGTCATTCATAGATGCCTTTTTTCTAAGTACAAGACAATTACTCAAATGCAAGGAAAATATGGCAAACGTTTTCCCACCACAACCTTCTCAGTCAACAGCTGAACTATAATTGGTCATCGACTGAAAAAAAATAAAAAAGCCACGCCTCTTATCTTAGTTCATAAATATCCATGATTCTTTTCCTATGACTCTTTAATGCCAATGCAAAAGTAGACCAGTCAGCTTCTGACAGTCTCAGGCACTGGCTTAGTTCTCATTTGGCCAAAAATAGAAGCCATCAAAATGAATTATACACTACTCGATACATGACGGTAAATGAGATTGTTCTCACTTTTCTAGGATGTCGTTACTTAATTTTCCCAGATCATTTCTTCTTATCATCCCCCACAATGAGGAAAAAAACTTAAACTGGTTAAGGTTATAAAAAGAAAAAAAAAAGCCTATTACTAGAATTTGAATCCCCATCATCTGCAAAATACAGTGCACAAGTTAACTGCTTCCTCAATTTAAAACAAATTCTATAAAATATAATGTTGTCTACATTGAAGAGATGATTTCTTCTTATCTGAGGAAATAAGTAATTGGGAAGCAGGTATTTTTGAGTTAAAATACAGTGATCTTTAAATGGTTTCAAATTTTGCTTATCAAAAGGTAGTCAACCACAATGCAAGCCTTCCAGATCTAAATTCTGTCTTCACATAAACTTTCTTGCATCTGTTCTTGATCTTTTCAGAGAGAGGGTGAAAGTCCACTTCTATTTCTGTGCTGAAGTTTTGGCAGGTTTTCTCATCTGAAACTTTTCTGCTGCTGCATCAGGCCCACGTTTTCAGACTCTAGCACTGTCTTCTCTCATTTCTGCACAGGGTGGCGTTGGAGTACAAGGCAGGAGGGGGCTCTGATCTCCACTCTTCTGGTCCGCTAGAGAATACTTAATATTTATATATTCGTGCCCTTTCCTCTTGCTTTTTTGCTCTTCTTCAATCCTGAGCTGCAGTGTTTCAATATAATGCTGGACTGCCGTATAGATAAATCGGTACTATGCTTCTGTCTGGACCATCCCTGACCTCTGAGACCGCATCATCTGGATGGTTTTGGGAACGTCAATGTTGCAGTCAACACCTTTCTCTCTGACGATGTCAGTAAGAATATCAATCACAATGAACGTCCCTGTCAGGCCAATTCCAGCACTACAGTGCACCACGACCGGCCCTGCATCCGTGATGCTCCCCTGCTTATGGTACACCTCCTCCAGGAAGTCCAGCACGACCCCGGGGTCGCTGGGCACTCCATGGTCCGGCCAGGTCCGAAAGTGATATTGCCCGACCGGTCTCTCCATATTCCCTGGTCCAATCTTTGAAAGTTCAAGTTCTCTTAGTGTATAGTCATGAGCTGCGCTTTCTTTGACGTTCCTAACACGCATGACGCCATATTCTTTTAAAGCATACTCATCAGGCCAGTATTTGACACATTTACTCTTTCCTCTATCCACTTCTTTTGTTGTCATGACAATCACTCGGGAGTTTTCTTGGAACTTCATCTGCCAAAAGTCATTCACTGTGTTTTGCTGACAGCCTTGTGTGGCAATGTAACACGTTTTGGGCTTTGAATTGTTGCACCTGGTTTCAAATTCAGGCATGATGGTATTTGCACTGATGTAATCTGAAACAGGCTCATCGGGATCACCGTCGTGTAGGACAACCCTAGTATGATCAAAGGGTAGGATGTTTTTATATCTATTTTTGTTTTTGTTTTCTTGCCTTTGACCCTCTTTTCGGCTGTAGAGAAGTTTGCACTCCTGTTGTTGTAGTGTCTCAAATTTTTCCCAAAAGCCTTGTTTGAGTTTGTCTGTGGTCTCAGCTAATTTGCTTAGTTCTCGAACTCTGCTTTTTATTTCAGCAGCATTTATATGAGTCGTGTTAAGGGGATGCTTGAGTTGTAGTACTGTACCCAAGGTTTCCACCATGGAATTCTTCTTGTAATGTTCTTCAAGATCTGTTAAAGAATCAAACCGTTCTCCTCCACCAACGTCATATTTCAGTTCCTTTCAGAGGTATAATCTGCACAGTTCAGAAGATATTTAAGCTCAATAACATCTCCATTCTTCTCTTTTAATTGCCTATGATGTTCCATGTAATACTGGACCAACTCAGCCAAAGTGGCACATTTCTCCTCTCCATAGAGGTCATAGTAATCACCAGTGCTCTAAATGTGGGTGACAGCTCCATTTCTTCTAATGGAAAGTGTGAAGTCTCCAGGGTTACTTTTATTAGGCCTTGCCAAAACACTGCCATCAACTCCTCTTGTCAACAGTAGGTTTTCTGCCTCCACACCAGTGATATTTGGGTGAAACCATCTCCGCGATGTCATGTTCCTCCCGCCCTCCAGCTCTGTGACGGACCCGCTGCTTGCTCAGGCTCCACTGGGCTGGGTCACATCGGGCTAGCCCAAGGGAGGCCTACTCGGGACCAGACGAGGAGACAGAGCCAGCCGGCTGTGCACAGACCCCCTCTCCAGGCCTGGGGATCCCAGAGACTGTGCAGCCGCCCCCCCCGGTCCGGCTTGCTCCTCCTCCGGCTAATTTTTGTACTTTTAGTGGAGATGGGGTTTCTCACTTTTGGCCAGGCTAGTCTTGAACTCCTGACCCTCCTTGGGCTTCCAAAGTGCTGGGATTACAGGCTTGAGCCACCAGGCCTGGTCGGGCCTCTATTTCAATATGATTTTTATTTGGATGGACATCTGGAGAAGCCTATACTGTATTATATTGCTTTGCTTTCCATAACTAATTATAGAAATATCTATATTACAAGCTGTATATAATTTCATGAATTTCAAATAAAACACTGAAGATCTGAGCATGGGATTCAAACATACAAAATAGTAATTGTAATATCCAAAATTAGAAAGATATGGATTTTCTGTTATTGGATTATCTGACTATATTTTTCTTAGCTTATAGGAATAACTGAAGAAAATTATGGTGTATTATAGGATAGACAAGATTTTCCTGAATTTCCAATAAAATTCTAGAGGCTCTCATAAGAAGACCAACAATGTAAAGTAGTAAAACTGATAAATTCACTACTAGAAAAATGCAAACTTCATAATGATATTCTTGCCATTTGATAGAATTGCTTTTGTACATCTATACATTCAGAGTTTTGTTTTCTGAACTGGTTATGAGAAGAAACAGAATTTTTAGGAAATGAAACTTTATTTTCCGCAGTATTTTAGTTTTGTACATTAAAATTCTTTCACTTAAAATATTTTGTATTTATTTTCTAGCATTTTTTCTTCTTCTCATACTTATTATGTGTTGACTCAAGGGGTACCTGATAAAACAGATACAATTGATTACTCCTATAAAGATCTGTATGCCTCGAAAAGTAGAAGTTGCCTTACTTTTTCATAATGTTTCTTTATGTTTGAATAACACTTACATGTAAAGATTACATGGTGAATACAGACAAGATAGATCTTATATAATCTATTGTTTTACAGACCTTTTAATATATACTTCTGAGACTAAAAAGTAATACCTAATATTTATGCTATCTATTAGGCCATGTATTAGACTCATTGCTTCATGAGGATCCTCCTAGTTTCATGAGGATGCATAAGTACATTTTAGGCATCACTGCATTTTTAATGCCTAGTATTGAGACAACAGTATGGGAAGGGCTCAATACGTAGTTTTTAAATGTATAAGTCTGGTGACTAATTTCAGCAGGAAATTAATGTATAAATATTTATCAAAACACTATTGAGCCCTTAAAGTTGTCATGATTTTTTATAAGTGTTGATAACAAAAACAGATGTGACTTTGGCCTACTTTGTACTAATAATCCAGAGATAGAAAAGCACATTAAACACAACAGACACTATAAATGTGTATCCATGATTACTGCTATATAAAGGAACTAACTCTTTGAGGACTTATGGAAGTAAGATTTGACATAATTATGATTAGTGAAAGTGGAAATCAAATAATGGAATATAATGCATTAATGGTTGAATAATCAAAAAACCAGATAATAAGTGGGGCAGCATAGAGAAGCCAAGACACAGGAAATAGCACATGAAGTGTACTGTGATATGCAGGGGCATTATTAATGAGTACAGAGACTCCCGAAAGTAAAAGATCAGAGATGACAAAGCAAAGAATACAATGAGGATGCATGATATGAAAAAAAGCTGAAGAGACACTTAGGGAGAGGGTGTTAGATTTTTATTGATCAGGATAACAGTTGTCTTTTTCTTTGTCTTTTTTTTTTTTGAGACGGAGCCTCACTCTGTTGCCAGGCTGGATTGCCGTGGCGCGACCTCAGCTCACTGCAACCCCCACCTCCCGGATTCAAGCTATTCTCCTGCCTCACTCTCCTGAGTAGCAGGGACTACAGGCACCCGCCACCACGTCCAGCTAATTTTTGTATTTTTAGTAGAGACGGGGTTTCACCGTGTTGGCCAGGATGCTCTCGATCTCTTGACCTCATGATCCGCCCGCCTTGGACTCCCAAAGCGCTAGGATTATAGGCGTGAGCCATCGTGCCCAGCCTAACAGTTGTCTTTTTCTAAAAAAGAGTGAAAACAATTAAAATATTTTTTGTGTTTGTTGGCATTTTCAGATTTTTAAAATATTATCCTGACTGCTATGGGGAAAATGGAGCACAGGTAATCTATGGCTAGTGTGGGAAAAACAAAAATTTAACTGCTGATTTCCAGGTGAGTGATATAATTGCATGAGCAGGTATTGTGGTGTAGATGGAGGGAAGGTCAAAAAAAATACAGTATTTTTTACTAGGTAAAATAAATAAGAATATATGCAATTCTATAGATCATAATGTCATTCACCTACATAGGAAACATTGGAAGAGGCACATGTTTGGGGGAACTTTATTTTGTTGTTAGCACATAAACCTGGAATGCCTTAGATATATTTAAGACATGATATTAAATATACATATTGTATTACCCTTTACAAAATATCTGCCTTTCAATAAAAGTATTATAAGTCATGCCCATGAAGAACAGAAGCGATAAAGAAAGCAAACAAACTAGACTCAGATATGATACAGATAAGAAGTTAGTTATGACTAATATGTTAAAATCTGCAATAGAAAAAGTAGACAACTTAAAAGATGGACAATTTAAGTAAAGAAAATTATAAGAAAAAATCAAAAGGTAACACTAGAAATGAAAAACAGTAACAGAAATGAAGAATGTTGTTTGATAGCTAATCAGTAGACTGAACATGGCCTAGAAAAGAAATTAGTGAGCTTAAAATTAGGCCAGTTGAATTGTCTTAAACTTAATGCAAAGGATAAAACTAATAATAACAACAACAAAAATAGAAATGAATGTCCCAAAACCAGGATCAATTTGAAAATCTTCAACAAACACATAATAGTAATACTAAAAGAGGAATAAAGAGATAGTGTAGCAGAAGTAATACTTCAAGGAACAATGGCTAAGAACTTTACAAAATTAAGAATAGACACGAAAACAAACACTCAGGAAGCTCAGAGATAACAGGCATGATAAACACACACACACACACACACACACACACACACACTCACAAAATAACACATATTATTTTCAAATTGCAGACAGCTAAAAGTGAAAAAAAAACTCTTGAGGAAACACAAGAGGGAAAATACCTAGAGAAGAATAAGGTTAGGAATTACAGCAAACTTCTTATCATAAGTCCATAAGCAAGAAAAGATTAGGGTCAAATATTTAACGTATTAAAAAACCACTTAGAATTAGATATCATGAGAAATTATCTTTCAAAAGTGAAGGAAAAATAAGACATCCTCTGAAAATTAAACACTGAGGAAATTCATCATCATTTAATCTGCCTTATAATAAATGATAAAAGTTCTCCAAGAGGAATAAAAATAATGCAAGCCTGAAACTTAGAAATAAAGGCAAGAGAAAAGAAATAGATTATGATAAACAATATTTTTTATTTTTCTTATTTTTATGAATAAAATATAAAATTTGTGTTTAAATAATTATGACAATTTGTTGTTACATATGTTTATATAATATATGGATAAGTGAAATGCATAACAGCAATGACAAAAGTGATGGAACGGAGGAATTGCGACTATTCTATTCTAAGAAACTTACAGTAAACATGAATAGATACACTATAATTTGAAGATAAACTTTGATTAGTTAAGTGAATGTATTAGAACCTTAAGGGTAGCCACTTAAAATTTTTAAAAATTACTATGAATGATATACTAAGAACAAACAAAATGAATAGAAAACAGTTACACACATGGTAGACAGTAAATCACCTATATCAATAATGGCTTTAAAATGACTAGTTTAGATGAACCATTAAAAGACAGAGATGCAACTCTTTGTTGTCAAAAAGAATCTCATCTGAAGCATATAAACTAAGGTTAAAATTTTAAAAAGGATGAAAAAGATATCATGCTAACACTAATACAAAGAAAGCAGAAGTAACTGTATTAATTTTGGATAAAGCAGACATCAGAAGAAGAAAATTTATTACAGATAGAGAGCAACACAACATAACGAGAAAGGAAACAATTATCCAAATATGTATAATATATAACAACCCTAAACCTAATAATAAAGAATCGAAGTGCTCTATTAGACCTGAAGAAGAAATAGAGAAATACACTATTATACTTAGTGTGCTATAAAATTTCAACATTTCTTTTCACAAGTGATATATCAGTAAGCAGAAAATCAGTAAGGACATTGTTGACCTGAACAATACTAAAAATCAACTTGGTATAATTGATACTTAAATACCACTTCATTCAATAACAGCAGCATGTATATTCTTCTCAAGTTTGCATGGAACATTCAACAATGGAAACCACATTCTTTTCTGGGACATAAAATGCCTATCAATGTGTTAGAAACATATTAATAGCTTAAAACATATTAATAACTTAAAACACATATTAATAACTTAAAGGCACAGAAATCATGAAAACCATGTGTTCAGAAAACAATACAATTAAACTAGAAATGCATAAAATATAGTTGGGAAATCCCAGAACATTTGAAGATTTAACAGCACACTTTTAAATGATAAATGTATCAAACAGTAGTTTCAAACAAATATTGTAAAGAATGTGAAGTAAATAAAAATAAAATATTTACCTTTGTGCAATGAAGGAAAAGAAGTATTTAGAGGGAAATTTATAGTATAATATACACCTACAATAAATCTACAGCTGGTGAGAAATGATATGTTTTTCTATAAGGTTGGTGTCTTAGAGTTCTCTAGAAAACAGAATCAATAGAAAAAATACATAATATTATTATTATTTTTAATAATATTATTTATAATAAGAACTTGTCTTGTGTGATTATGGAAGCTAAGAAGGCCCAGGATCTGCCCTTTGAAAGATAAAGACCCAAGACAGCCATATATTTCAGTCCAAGTCTGAAGGCCTAACAACCAGGAGGACTGATGGTGTAAGTCTCAGTCCAAGAGTAAGAGAAGACTGTTGTTTCAATGTTCAAGCAGCCAGACAGAGAGCAAGACTTCAATCTTCCTCCATATTTTAGCTCTATCTGGGACTTAAACAGGTTGGCTGATATTCACCTACATTAGGCCAGGAAATATTCTTTCTTCAGTCTACCACTCTAAACACAATCTGGGAATCTCATGGCCCAGTCAATTTGACACAAAATTAAACATCACAACTGGGAACAAGTCAATAATATCCTATCTCATAGCTTCTATTCAACATCATATTGGAATTCCTGGCCAGGGCAATAAGAAAAAAAGCAGGGCAAGGGTGGTAAGGTATAAAGATTGAAAAAGAAGAAATAGAAACTTCCTCATTTGTAATGGAATAATAGTTCATGTAGAAAATTCAAAGGAATAAACAGAAACATCTAAAATTAATGAGTCCAAGAAGATTGTGAAATCTAACATTAATATACAAAGGCAATCGAGTATTCAAAAAATATTACAGTAGAACTATACATTGACAGTAAAATACTTCCTTTTAAATCTAAGAAAATGTATGCATGACCTATTTAAGGAAAACTGCAAAACATTATGAAAAAATACAAGCTCTAATTAAATTGATACTTTTTTCTCTGTTTATTGATTAGAAGTCTCAATATTGTTACAATGTCAATTCTCCTCAACTTAATCTATAGATTCAACACAATCTCAATCAAAGTCTGAGCAACCTAGGATATACATATGGGTGAATTGATTGTAACATTTTAGTGGAAAGGCAAACAGCCTACAAAAACCAACGTAATACTGAAGAAGAAGAAAAAATGTTGGATGACAAACCTTATCCAATTTTATAAGACTGCAATAATCAGGAGCATGTGGAACTGATGAAAGAATAGACACGTCAATCCATGAAACAGACTAGAAAGCATAGAAATCGACCCACACACATCTAGACCACTACATTAGTCTGTTTCATGCTGTTGATGAAGATATACTTGAGACTGGATAACTTATAAAGAAAAACAGGTTTAATGGACTCACAGTTCCACATGACTGGGGAGGCCTCACAATCATGGCAGAAGGCAAAAAGCACCTCTTGCATGGTAGCAGACAAGAGAGAATAAGAGCCAAGTGAAAGGGGAAACCCCATATAAAACCATCCGATCTCATGAGACTTATTCACTACCATGAGAACAGTATGGGGGAAACTGCTGCATAATGCAATTATCTCCACCGGAGCCCCCAACAACACATGGGAATTATGGGAACTGCAATTCAAGATGAAATTTGGGTGGAGACACAGCCAAACCATATCATCTACTAATATTTGACAAAGGAACAAAGGCAATTTAGTGAGAAAAAGATAGTATTTTCAGCAATTTATGATGGAATACAATTGGACTTCCATATGCAAAAAAAAAGTGTAGACAGAGACATTATATTGTACCCCAAAATTAACTTGAAATGGATCATTGTATAAAAGGCAAAATGTAAAGTCTGAGGTAAATATGTAAATATACATTTTCATCCTAAATGTAAAATGTGAAACTATGAAACCTCTTGAAAAAAATTTAAAAAAATGTGGAGTTGGATATTGTGATGCGTTAAATTCAGTAACAGTGGCATAATTCAGCAATTAAAAAAGTCATAAGTTGCATTTTATTAAAACCAAAAATTGTCTGCCCTGCAAAAGTCACTATTAAGAAAATGAAAATTTAAGCCACATACTGTGAATGAATATTTGATAAGCACAAATGATGAAGGACTTGCACTCAAAATACACAAATAACTTGTAAGCTCAAAAATGTAACAACAAACAGTTAAAACAAAGGGCAAAACACATGAACAGACATCTCACCAAAGAAGATATACAGATGGGCACACAGCAAATGAAAAGCTGCTAAGCATCATTTTTAATTAGTGAATTGCATACTAAAACAACATCTAATAGAATGAATTCAATGTGAACCAAAAAAGTGACAATGCTCCCTGCTGTGGAGGATGTGGAGCAACAGGAAAATAAGTTGGTCATAGGATTGCTGGTAGGATGACAAATTAATAATTTTGGAAGACAGTTTGGCATTTTTTTTCAAAAAATGAAACATATGTTTAACATATAATCCATGAATTGTGCTCCCAGGTATTTAAAAAACTCAGTTAAAAATTTATATCCACAGAAAACCCAGCACATTAATGTTTATAGCAGTATTACTTATAATCATCAAAAACTAGAAGATGGCTATTAACAGGTAGATGGAACAACAAACTGTGATACATTCAGAGAGTAGAATATGAGTCAGTGATTAAAAAAGTATATGAACTATCAAGCTATCAAAAAATTATGGCTGAACCTTAAATCTGCCCATTGTTATATTTAAAAAGTCATTCAGAAAAAAATCATATATTGTATAATTCCAATTATGTAAAGTTTTAGAAAGTGCTTAACTATTGAGAAAGTAAACAGATCACTGGTTGCCAGAGGTTCAGATGGGGGGAACTTTAGTAGGTGAATCAGAGGGAATATTTTATTGTGACAAAACTATTCTGTAATGGTGAATAGAAGAAATTTAACATTTGACATGCTGTGCATTTAAGTTCACACCTTGTGCCATAAAGTTCTGTGTGATATATGTGATGCCAATAGAATGGAATGTAGAATGTGAGAAAGTAATCCAAATCTATTACAAATTTATAAAACAACCTCACCGACTGACGTTATGGAATGAGGCACCAATACAAGTAACTTTGGAGTTAGTGGAGTTTTTAAAAATAAGGGCAAAAGGAAGTGTATGTAAGCACCGTACTCTACTTGATAAAACGATTTTCCATGGAGATACAAATTAATACTTTTGAAACCACTGAACACTGAAATTGAATAATTAGGTAAATAAATGGTGAATGATGGGGCAAGATTTCTAAATATTGGAGTGAGAGATTATAGGCAAGTAAGGAAAAGAGGACAGAATAATCCAGGTGGTCATGGATTAGAGTTGGAGACATCAATACAACATGTTTAGTTTAATATAGAAAAATGCAGTTAAATACATGTGTGTATGTGTGTGTGTGTGTGTACATGGGTTGATCTATCCACATATGCTTATTTGCTTTACCAGAACTAATAAGCATACTTAACTTTCATAGCTTGGCTTCTAATTTAATGTCATTCTCAAAAATGTAACCAAACCGTCTTGGAGAAAAAAAAGGTGATTCTAGGACTCGAGCAAGAAATGCATAAAATTAGCATGGATTTCATGTAGTACCAGAAAGTTTTGAAAACAACAACAGCAACAAATAGACAAACAACAACAAAAAACAGCAATGATGGCGGTATACCGAAAGAATATCAGAGTCAAATTTAAGCAACAAAAAATGTTGTACGAGATAATAACTTAAATTATCAAATAAATATCCTTCGGTGCATACTGATATAAACACATTATTAGCTATATAAACAAATGGGAAAAAATAGACAAATAATGCCCTGAATAGAAATTTTCCAAGTAATTTATAGAGATAGTTCAACCTCAATTAGAGGATGCATATCTCCCCATTCCTTAAGTGCAGGCTGTGCATAATGACTTCATTCCAAATAACACATTATTAAAAGGAGGGAAGAATAATAATTTTACAATAGAGGTTCCTGAGTGACACTACCTCAGCTGAGTGATAAAAGTCACCATCAACAGATAAATCATGCTGTCAGTATGTACTTGTCTAAGTGTGTTTTGTGTTGCTATAACAGAATACCACAGGCTGGGTAATTTATTTTTTTAAAAAAGTAGTTTATTTGGCGCATAGTTCTGAAGGCTGGGAAGTCAAAGAGCATGGTACCAGCATCTGGTGAGGGCCTTTGTGCTGTGTCATTCCATGGCAGAAAGGAGAAAAGCAAAAGCAGATTATGGAAAGAGTGAGAGCAAGAGAGGGCTGAACCCACTTTCATAACAACCCAGTCCCACAAGAACAATATAAATCCATTCATGAGGGTACAGACATAGTGGCCTAATTATTTATTAATGGTCCCACTCTTAATACCTTCACGATGGCAATTAAATTCAACTTGAATTCTGGAGGGGACATTCAAACCATAGTAGCGCTGTTGAGTAGTACTTCTGCTGATATTTTATTATCATAATGGCACTTTACCTTTGTGGTCTTCATCTTAAGAAAATAATATCCACTCAAATAATAAGAAAAACATCAGGAAAATCCCAATAGAAGAATATCCTACCAAGACTTTTCAAAACTGAAAACATCATGAATAACAGAGCAAATTAGAGAAACTGTCAGCCAACAACAACTGTAAGGAGACAGGACTACTAAATGTAATGGAGAATCCTAGATGAGATCTTGCAACAGCAGAAAAAGAAAATATGATGAAATCTGAACTTTACTTAATTATAATGTATCAATATTGGTTCATTAATTACAACAAATATGCCATACTGATATAAAGTGTTAAAAACTGGGAAACTAAGTTATGTGGAAAACTCTCTGTACTATCTTCACTGTAAATGTATAAGTCAAAAAGTGATCAAAAATAAAAAAGTATACTTTAAAAACACTATAGAAAATAAGAAATATTTGGTAACCTCCAGAGGCTTCAATTCATATGAATTGTTTTAGATCATATTCCAAATGCACCATCTAAAGTTTGTCCTCTCACACAGTCCTGATAAAACTGTCAGAGGAGTTCAAACCAGAGCGACCCCATCTTGAATAGGGGCTGGGTAAAAATGAAGCTGAGATCTACTGGGCTACATTCCCAGAAGGTTAGGCATTCTTAGTCACAGGATGTTTATGGCTAAGGGAACAGGTTAGTAATGTTGACTAAACAGATCCAGGACTTAACAGATCCAGGAAATGTCCTAATGCCCCAATACCTTTTTTTTTTTTTTTTTTTGAGACAGAGTTTTACTCTGTCACCCAGGCTGGAGTACAATGGCACGATCTCGGCTCACCACAATCTCTGCCTCCTGGGTTCAAGTGATTCTCCTGCCTTAGCCTCCTGAGTAATTGGAATTACAGGCATACGCCACCACACCTGGCTAATTTTTGTATTTTTAGTAGAGATAGGGTTTCACCATGTTGGCCAGGCTGGTCTTGAACTCCTGACCTCAGATGATCCACCCACCTAGGCCTCCCAAAGTTCTAGGGTTACAGGCATCAGCCACCATGCCCGGACAGACCAATATCTTATGAAGAAAACAATTCTTAGTTTAAGTTCTTCTTTAAAGGTAATAATATAGATTCTTGCTGAAGACAGTAGGTACACAAAGACCAACAATCCTTTGTGAGGAGCCCTGTATAATTGTAGAGCACATCTCTCCCATGCTTTCTTGCTATGTATCTTATATATAAACAGGCATCGTTCCTAAGGTGGTGTATTTCTCCCCTTGCTTTCGAGGACACCCTGCTCTGTCTATGGAGTAGCCCTTCTTTGATTCCTTTACTTTCTTAACAAACTTGCTTTCACTTTACTCTGTGGACTCATGCTAAATTCTTTCTTGCACAATATCCAAGAACTCTCTCTTGGGGTCTGGATCACAACCCCTTTCTGGTAACAAAACCATTTTTTCCCCTTGACTTTACAGACCTATGGGTTGTAACTAATTCCTATTGTTGCTTGACTAAGTGCCTCAATATTACTTGTTATATTCCTTAACTTTGTCCATACATGTTGAAATTGTCACTTCCAGTGGTAGATATAGGTTTTATGGAGCCTGAAATTTGTGCAATTTGGAATTCCTTTTTTAAGAAAGGGAGTACACAATTATAGACACCAAATCTGAGAGCAAAACTATTTTACTACAGACTTAAAAGGGTGGATCCCTTTCTCCTGAAATCCCTTTAGGGAATTTATCTGAAATGCTTACTGTAATGATTCCTAATTGAAAACTTGTTGTCCCTCCCCATCCAGAGTACTGAATTGCACAGCAAATCCCAGACTTCACAGAAGCTCATGCAAATGAGGGCCCTGCAGCTTAAACCTCATTAGCTTCATATTAAATCTGTCTCTGGTCCCTTTCTTTAATTCTCTTTAAAATCCCAATTGAATGTGGCTGCTACTCTATGTCAACAACTCCTACTAGTACAGGCTAGGAGGAGGAAATGGAAAAAGCAGGCTAATTAGAGATCTCTTTAGTCTGTAGAATCAAGGCTCTTGGGGGACTTGTGGGAAACAGGAAATGAGGGAGAGGTACATAGCCAGGCTTTAGCTTCAAAAATAGTGTGGTTGTCAGTGTCATTCACGTTCATAGAAACAAGGAAAAGGCACTGAGTTTAAGGAGAATCAAATTTCAGTTTGGAGTTTGTGAAGTTTGATGTGTCTGTATACCATATCCATAGATATATCTAGGAGACACATGTTCTGATCTGCAATTGTGAGGATAGTTTGAGCTGGGATATAGGCATGAGAATCATCAACATAGAGTAAATTTCTCTCTGTGAGTGGTCACTTGAGTCAAAAGACTTAGGAGTAAAGAAGGGCTAATGTGAATCTCAGAAGGGCAGTATTTGAAAGGGCAGCTCATAGAAGCAAATGCAAATTGACTCAGTTGTTAGGAGGAAACCACAACATTCTATTTAAACAAAAGCAAGAGAAACAAATATATAAAGATGAACAGCATAAGTGACAATTCTGATAAGATGGCAAGGCATGCAAATTTAAAAGTTTCTCTCTTGTTTGTTGCAATACTGAGAAATTTATAAGGTAAGAATTACCCCACTTTAAGATGAGTAACCTGAGTTTCAGAAAGAAAAAAATGTTCCTTAATTCATATCTCACATAACAAAAAGATTTCAGATTTGAGTATAAATCAAACTCTGTATTACAAACTATACATGGATTGGTAGCAGGGGCAATCTCCCATTCAAAAATGAGAAGAATAAAAAGCATGAACAATAGCACTGGAAGTATGCTGGTGGGAATGTAAAATGGTACTCCCACTGTGGGAAAAAGTTTAGGAGTTTCTCAACGAGTTAAACATAGAATTACCCTATAACCTAGTGAAGCTGCTTCCAGGTGTGTAACCAAAAGAACTGAAAACAGATTTTCAAACAAAAATGTGTATAGTCATGTTCCAAGTGGCACTATATGCAATAGCTAAGACATAGAAACATCTTAAACACCCATCAACAAATGGATGGGTAAACAAAATGTGATGTATTTATAAAATGAAATATTATTCAGCCATGAAAAGGAATGAAGTACTGATACATGCTACAGCATGGATTCACCTTGAAAAAATTATGCTATGTGAAAGAAGCCAGACACAAAAAACACATATCGTATGATTCAACTTATATAAAATATCCAGAATAGGCAAATCCAGAGACAGAGAAAGAAAGCAGATAAGTAACTATTAGGGAATGGAAGAGGAGTTATTCAGAAGTGACTGATTACTGGATATGAACTTTCCTTTTGGGGTGATGAATACATTCTGGAAGTAGCTAGTGGTGATGTTTACACTACATTGTGAATGTATTTAATGCCAATGATTTTTTTTTTTTTTTTGAGATGGAGTTTTGCTCTTGTTGCCCAGGCTAGAGTGCAATGGCACAATCTCAGCTCACCGCAACCTCCGCCTCCCTGGTTCAAGCAATTCTCCTGCCTCAGCCTCCCGAATAGCTGGGATTATAGGCATGCACCACCACACCCAGCTAATTTTGTGTTTTTAGTAGAGACGGGGTTTCACCATGTTGGTCAGGCTGATCTTGAACTCCCGACCTCAGGTGGTTCGCTGGCCTCAGCCTCCCAAAGTGCTGGGATTACAGGCATGAACCACCATGCCTGGCCAATGAATTATATTTTTAAAAAGAGTTTAAGTGGTTAATATTATGTTTATCATAATGAAAAGTTTTTTAAAATTAGCACTGGAAGCTATAGGGCTTCAGAATCTTTAAAGCTTTTAAAACAAAACAAAATTCCAAACAATCTCTATCAAAACAGTGAATGAAAGTTATCTCCTTAGAATATTTTTGTGGTTTTACAATTATGCTATTATGGCATAAAAAGGCCAGTCTTCCTGTTATTAGATCTGCTATTATCCATTATATATGTTGAGCAATACAAAAGAAATGTATCTGTCTACTCTGCTGCCTCCTATTTGTCACCCCTACAACTTGGCTTTGTTCTACAACTCCCACCTTTTCTCCTTTAGTAATGGTAGAGTTTGGCATTTACCCAATAGTTTTTATTGTAATCATGCCTTCATGGCTAACAAAGAAGGTTTCTATGTGTATGTGATTGGCGCTAGAACCAACATGCTATCCATTCTGTCCTTCCAAATTTAATACTTTAGGTTGATATTGGGTGTAGTTTATGTTTCTGGGAGATGCTTTATAGAATATACCTTGTGCCTAATACAGTGCAATGTATTTCATATACATATTAAACAGTAAGATTTTCATATTTATGGCCAATAATGCAGTGGTTATGAAACAAAACTTTAAAAAATATAAACTATCTAAATCTTGGAACAGTTATATATTTACAGAAAAATTACAAAGGTGGTACAGACAATTGACATAAACTCCACGCTCAGTTCCCCCTGTTTTTAATGTTTTATATTAGTGTGGAACATTTGTTAAAATTAAGAACAAATGGTCATAAATTATTAAGTCTTTGTTCAGATTTTCTTTCTAATACCCTTTCTTTTCTAAAATCCCATCCAGGATACCACATTCCACTTACTTGACATGTCTCTGTAGGCCACTGTTAGCAGCCAGTCTCTCAGACTTCTCTTGTTTTAGATGACATTGACCGTTTTGAGGGATATTAACCAGGTATTCTGTAGGATTTCCCCAATATATTTTTTTTTGATGATTAAGAGTATATGCTAGCAACATGGTTTATGATCATGTCAGTGTTGGCCATAAGCCCATGTTTGAGGTAGTGTTGGTCAGGGTTTTCCGTTGTAAGGTTGCCTTACTCTTTCAGGAATGAGGAAATATGCCCTCCACTCCTTGAGGGTAGAGTATCTACATAAATTATTTGGAACTCTACCAACTTCCACAATGTTCCATTTTTTTTTCACATGGAACAGCACAGGATGAGGGTGAGATGGATCAGCATAAATGGGAATAATCATGAGAAAAAACTGCTGAGGAAGCCATGAACAAAAGCCTTCTGCCATTTTGTGGACCCAGAGAGTCAGATGAACGTTTAAAATTACTGATAATGGAAAATTACTGAGCCAGCTTGAAGAAATATCTCAAGGCCACCAATAAGGAGGTCTCAGTAGACGTTCTGAATACTCTGTCAGTGTAGCCTCCCCAGCCTGCCATAGGAGGCCTCTGAATGGGGATGTCTAAGCTAGGAAGGCATATGTGCCTAAAAGTGTGGCCTGCCATTGTGGGGGTGGGGGTGAATCTTTGACTATAACTATCTCCAAAGGTTGCAATGCATTGGCTGTGCACCGAGTGTTGAGTGGGGAGAGCCACCTTCCCCCTTGAAACCTGCCAGTAAAACTTTGTAATTGACTATGACCGGGCCTGAAAGATCAGTTCATCTGTTTCTGCTTGTGTTAAGCTTGGGAGTTTGTGTCCTAAAAAATACTGGTCTATTTCATCAAAGTTGTTTCAATAGAGCATAGAGTGATTCATAATATTCTTCATTATCATTTTAATATTCATGGGGTCAGTACCAGTGCGTTTAAACATATAGTAAAGACAGTGGCAAAAATAGAAGCTTGTTCCGAAAGTATAATTCTAATAGCACGCCCACAATCACAGAAACAATTCCATTTTCAATGATTTCAAGATAAAACTACAGGAAGCTTTAAAATGCATTATTAAGCAGAAATTTCCAACTGAAGCTTGCAGAACTCAGCTGCGGTGAATATGATACTGAGGATATTACTCCCACTGAGTGGGAGCAACTTCCCTGGAAATGAGTGCCTGAGTGTTTTTCTCTCTGTGTGCTTTGCTGTTCTCTCTCTATCTCTCTTTTTCCTCAAAGCCTCTATATCCTCTGTCCTCTATCAATTGCATTTTTATCTCTCTATTAAGCAATTTATAATCTATGTACAAAATTTGTCACCCTTTCTTCCCAACTCCAATATTAAAGATGTTTAAACTTTTAACTATTTTATTTCTCTTACTGTCCAAAACAAATGTAATTTAAAAATCAATTCCTATAATTATTTGAATTACCATAAATAACATTAAATATATATTTATTCATGGACAATAATATAATACTTAGAAGATTTTCATTTTTTCTGCTGAAGATTTGAAAAAGTTGCATTAATTTTGTTTGCATTTCAGTCATGTTAAATATAAAGATGTTTTCTTCAAATATCTTAGGTCAGTGTTTAGAAAAGGTGGTCCATGGTATTCTATTCTAGAGTTTTTGCGATATGTAAGTTTACAATTGGGATTTTTGGGTCTCATTCTAGAGCATATGAATCAGAATGTTTGAAGAATTCCCATCCTTTTGACACATTTTAAAGCAGTATCCCCGCAGATCTCTGTGTACCCTAATGTATGAGAAAATTTTCTTAAGTCTTGAATTTAAATTTTTATAATATCCTTTTTATTTCTCTGAAGTCATATTTGAAAACGTTTTTTGATTATTCTTCTTGCCATTCTGCCACATTTACTGAGGTATTCAGATAATTTTCTATTACTGGGACTATAAATGCAATTTCCTCAACTATTTTGAAGAGATAATATTTTCAATCAGATTGCTATTTCTTGCTTTTTCTCAATTTTCATAAAATTCTTATTACCCTGGTAAGGTGGCAAGAATTTCAAACAGGTTTTCAAATGTGGCTTCAATTATTTGTCACCTATGTGGTTTTGAGTGAATTTCCAATAAAGTATATTAATTGTCTGCTTTTTAAATTTATCATCAAATTTCATTTGATTATATTCATTGCATTAAAAAAATGAAGATGGAAGTGGATTTTAAAAGGTATACTACCTTATAGATGCACTTCTTAAATCAGCTTATTGATAATAGTAGGAAAGCTGCAATATTTAAAAAATAATTGCTTAAAATCATCTTAGAAAGATCAGGGATGTAGAATGATAGAGAAACACAAATTGTAATTTTCAGTGTGTGTATGTGTGTACATTTTAATTACTTGTACATAATTAAATTTATCTTTTAAGTTTTAGAAAGTTATAGCAAAATGTCATGACAGTAATTAATAGAAAAATACAAAAAGATCATCCCCTTTAAACATGTATTCCAGCATATAAAAATACTTAAAGCCAGGCATGATGGCATGTATCTGTAATCTTAGCCACTTGGGAGGCTGAGGTGGGAAGATCACTTGTGCCCAGGAGTTCAAGTCTGCAATGAACTCTGATCACCACTACACTATAGCCTGGGTGACACAGTGAGGCCCTGTCTCCAAGAAAAGATAAAAATACGTAAGTCTCTAACATTGACAATCTTACATTAAATTCCTATAAATTTGAAAGTTATAGGTTATAGGTGCTCTCTCATTAGTCAATATAATTTTCTTTTTCCCTGATTTACCAAAAATGTGATATAAATGATGCCAAATTATGAATTCCTAAAGAAGTGATTTAAGATTTGTGTTCTGGTGGGAGACCAAGCATATTTTTCTTGGCCAAACTTTCCTTGGCTGGACAGCTAACATTAGAGTGTCCAGATCTCTATAATAAGTCCCCTTTCCTTCTTAAACTGCATACTGGCTGATTCTTTTCATCACTTCTAATTAAATCATTGTCCAGACAATGTCACTGCCCTATTTATAATCCTTAAATAACTTCTGATTGTGCACCGAATAGACTTGACCTGGTTTTAAAAATCCTGCATACGCCTAAACATAGTTTAGCTCTCTAGTTTATCTCCCATCACTCCCTCACTCATTCATGATATCACAGTCTCACTGAAATTCCTTCTATTCCTTAATCAGGAAAAATTTATTTTGACCTTGAGATTTCCACATTAGGTCTACTTCCTCTTTAAAATGTGCCTTTCCTAAACTTCACATAGCTATCTCCTCCTTACTATTCAGACCACAGTTTAAATGTCTTTTTTGAATAAGAGATGCTGGTGAGGCTGCAGAGAAGAGGGAATGCTTATACACTGCTGGTAGGAATGTAAATTAGCTCAGCCACTGTGGAAAGCAGTTTGGTGATTTCTCAAAAAACTTAAAATAGAACTACCATTTGATCCAGCAACCCCAATATTGGGTATATACCCAAAGGAATATAAATCTTTCTACCGTAAAGGTATATGCACTCATATATTCATTACAGCAGTATTCACAATAGCAAAGACATGGAATCAACCTAAATGCCCATCAACAGTAAGCTGATAAAGAAAGTGTGCTACATATATACCGTGAAATACTATGCAACCATAAAAAGAATGAGATCATGTCCTTTGCATCAACATGCATGGAGCTGGAAACCATTATTCTAAGTGAACTAACACAAAAACTGAAAACCACACATCACATGTTCTCAGTTACAAGTAAGAGCTAAACATGAGTACACATGGACAAAAAAGAAGGGCACAGTGGACACCAGGGCCTGCAACAGGCTGGAAACTGGAAGGAGGGTAAGGATTGAAAAACTGCTTTTTGTGTACTATGCTTATTATCTGGGTAATGAAATAATATACACATCAAATCCTCGTGACACATAATTTATCTATAGAACCAACCTGTACATGTACCCCAGAAACTAAAAGTTGAAAATAAATAAATAAATAAAATGCTATTTTTGCAATGAAGCTTTCCCTAACCATTCTATTTCCAGCCTATCAGTCCTCTAGTCAATTATTAAAAGTAACAGCAAAAACCGCAATTACTTTGGCACCAACCTAATAACATTCTATCTAATGATTTTAATACGGTACTCATATTTTTTTCATAAACTGTTCTTGCATAAGGCATAAAATTAAGGTTCAATAATAAGTGCTGCTTTGACATCCTGTGAAACCAGGAGGGTTTTGAATGGCCTCATTTCAAGTTCCTTCTCCCATTCTGCTTCCATGGATAAGGCCTTGTCACCAAATTTTTTGTTGTTGTTGTTGTTGAGACGGAGTCTCGTCCTGTTGCCCAGGCTGGAGTGCAATGACATGATCTCAGCTCACTGCAACCTCCGCCTCCCAGGTTCAAGCAATTCTCCTGCCTCAGCCTCCCAAGTAGCGGGCATTACAGGCACCTGCCACCATGCTCAGCTAATTTTTGTACTTTTAGTAGTGATGGGGTTTCACCATATTGGCCAGGCTGGTCTCGAACTCCTGACCTCAGGTGATCTGCCCACCTCCCAAAGTGCTGGGATTACACGTGTGAGCCACTGCGCCTGGCCACTAAATAACATTTCTTTCAAGGAGATAAGGCATATTCCTTAGATACTTACCTTAGTAAACCCAGAATAGTGGGTTTTGCTTCCCTCCTAGCCTGCAGAATTATTCAGCCAAGTCATATCTTCCTGTGGAAACTAGAGGGCACCCACCTTTGTGATACTAAAAAGCCAGCCTCCTATGGCCCATACTTTTTCACTCTCTTCCTGAATTTAACCTCTGCGTGCCCCCACATGAAATGTGGTGCTCTCCTTCCCTGGATTCTATCTATGATGAGTAAACTGCCGTCTATCTCATCTATGCAGTGTTCAGCCTTCCTATAGCCATTCTGACCAGAATTCCTCCTTCACTGATGGAGTGAAAGAGAGGCTAACAAAACAACTGTTTTTATGCATTTATTAATCTTCTGCTATTTGTCTATCACCATGAAAGGCAAGTGCCATATCAACAAACACATCATCTGTCTCCTTGACCCACATATCCCTGGACTCTTCAGTAATGCAGCATTAATAAAAATTTTGAATAAATGAATGATTACTTAGACTTTTCTTCCTATCTCAAATATTTAGAAATTATCATAATATAGATATTTACAAACATACATATGTATAGGGTTTTCAAGAAAAATATTGGTATTAATGCTAAAAAACATGAGTAACTTCTGGTGGTGAGCCAGGAAAAGGAAGAATCTTTGGAAATAAGAAAGCGTAGTAGTTTAATCTGCAATGATTTTCTAAAATGACCATTCATATTAAATAGATGTTTTTACCCTGAGCCCCAGAACCAGTGAATATCATAAGATATTATTTTCATAATGATTTTATGTTATAAGGTGTAGTTGATCACAAAATAAGAAAATTACCCAGGTAGACTTATTGCAATAACATGAGTCCTTAAAAGCAGAGAACCTTCCCCTGCTGGTGGCAGAAGAGGGTGTCAGGGAGATTTGATGTACAAGAAAGATTCAAGTCACAATTTCTAAATTTAAAAATGGAAAAGACCTGCTGGGCACAGTGGCTCACGCCTGTGATCCCAGCACTTTGGGAGGCCGAGGCGGGTGGATCATGAGGTCAGGAGATCGAGACCATCCTGGCTAACATGGTGAAACCCTGTCTCTGCTAAAAAAAAAAAAAAAAAAAAAAAAAAAAAAAAAATTAGCCGGGCGTGGTGTGGCGGGAGCCTGTAGTCCCAGCTACTCAGGAGGCTGAGGCAGGAGAATGGCGTGAACCAAGGAGGCGGAGCTTTCAGTGAGCTGAGATCGCGCCACTGCACTCCAGCCTGGGCGACAGAGTGAGACTCCGCCTCAAAAAAAAAAAAAAAAAAAAAAAAAAGGAAAAAACCATGATTCAAGAAATACGGGTGATTTCTTGAAGCTGAGGATGAGCAGGACTGATAGCCAATGGTGAAGCAGAGGCTTCAGTCCCAAACATCACAGAGCGACACTGTCCACCACCTAGATGAATTTGGAAGCAGATCCTTCCCCAGACTTTCCAGAAACAACATGATCTAGCTGACACATCAATTTCAACATTGTGAGACCCTGAGCGGAAGACCCAGTCTAACCTGCTCTGACTTCTAAATTACAGGACAGTGAGATGACACATGGATGTTTATAAGTCTGCTAAGTATATGGCAATTTGTTATGTAGCAATAGAAAACTAATGCAGTCAGATCTACAGAGGAAACCACTCTGTAAATCATTCACTACAGAGAAAAAAGAGACAGGAGGGATCAGTTTCAAAATGTACACATCTTGGTACTAGTGGATACAGGATCAGGAGAGTGCCCGGGAAAGACTGTCAGCGTTTATCTAGCACATTTGATATGGAGATCTAGACTCTGTGACCTTATTTTTGACCCCATTCTCATTGCCTGAGCACCAGAATCCAGATAATACTGCCTTATTCTCTAGAAACCCAAAGAAATTACCAGAATAAAGAGAAAGCCTGAGGCTTTGAATAGCTGGAAACTAGCAGAAAAAAATTATGCTTCTGCATCACATGAACAATTAGTCAAGTTCCTTTCCCGAATGACAACATGTCATATCTCTCCTTCTGTAAACTAAAAACAGAGACTCATTTGAGCAATCCCACACTCAATAATAAATATAAAACAATGAATTAGTAAAAACGCAATCACCTTAAAAAAGAAGCAATGATTCTCCCTTCACACTCAAACAGCATCAAGATTAAAAGTAACATCAGGCGGGACACGGTGGCTCACGCCTGTAATCCCAGCACTTTGGGAGGCTGAGGCGGGTGGATCAAGTGGTCAGGAGATCGAGACCATCCTGGCCAACATGGTGAAACCTCGTCTCTACTAAAAATACAAGAAAATTAGCCTGGCGTGGTGGTGGGCGCCTGTAGTCCCAGCTACCGGTGAAGCTGAGGCAGGAGAATGGCGTGAACCCAGGAGGCAGAGCTTGCAGTGAGCCGAGATCACGCCACTGCACTCCAGCCTGGGCGACAGAGCGAGACCCCGTCTCAAAAAAATAATAATAATAAATAAATAAATAAATAACATCAATTGTTATTGTTTTGATATATTTACAAACATACTATATAACAATTGCATGGATAAATGTGTAACAGGATGTAACATAGATAACTGCTTAAACACAGGAGAAATTATTATGGGCATGAAAAACAAAAAAAAGGTATGTAGGCTGACTGGCCTACATGTAGGCTGAATGTCTTCAGAAACAAGATGAAGAATCAGTAATTTTATGTTCAGCCAGACTATATTAAAACTACTTGAATAACATATAAGAGAATTGGAGGGAGAGAATTCAGGGAAGGGGAGACTGACAGAAGAGGAGTGGGGAGGGGTGTGCTTTTTCTTGTGGAAAGCCTCTGTGGATGCTGTCCTACAGCTTTGCACAATGCAATTTTGATGATTGCACAGTAAACAGCTACCTGTAGAAGCTTCTCCCTGGAATATATCGAAGATGCCTCACTCGGTTTGGGTGGGATTAGCTGAGAACTCTACAATTCTACATTATTTCTCTAGGGCTGAAAAAGTTCTATTTTAAATAAATGTTAAAGTCGGGATGAAGATTCTGCTAAATTGTTGTCACTTCCCAATTAGCCTAGATAAGTGCCTCTGCTTCTATGTATTGATTGTTTTTCCCGTTATTCATCACCTGATGAATTTTCGGTCAACGTAGAATGTGTTAAAAGACATCAAGGGCTTTCCTTTCTCTCCCCACAGGAGTCTTACAGCTGAGGCACAGAGACTTCTGTTCAGGGCCTCTCTTGCAAATTGATGTTTCTTCTATAATCAATGCTGTGTCTGTGTGATATGCAACTGTATTTTTAATTTTATTTTTGAATGAAACAGTGAGAGGCATTAGAGTAGGAGTCTGCATCTTTTCTTAGTTTTTACTACCAGCAGTGTATAAGCATTCCCTTTTCTCTGCAGCCTCACCAGCATCTCTTATTCAAAAAAGACATTTAAACTGTGGTCTGAATAGTAAGGAGGAGATCACTATAGTCCCAGCCACTCAGGAAGCTGAGGCAGGAGAATCGCTTGAACCCAGGAAGTGGAAGTTGCAGTGAGCAGAAATCATGCCACTGCACGCCAGCCTGGCGACAGAGTGAGACTCCATCAAAAAAATAAATAAATAAATAAAAAATAACAGTAAAAATAAAAATAATTATAATACTGCAACTCTCTTCACTTCTCTACTTATAGCATGAAAAATTCTGTTTTCCATAGTGATTATTAGTTTTAACTCATGTAACCATGTAGCTATTTAAAGAAGAATAATAATTTTGATGACAAGGAAAAAATAAAAAGCGAAAGAAAGGTGGATTTAATTGACAAACTCTGTTGAGATAATATTTTCTTTGAAAGAATTAAGCTCAGGGGTTCACAATTTCACTTCAGGCAATAGAACTTAAATTTAAAAAGCTAAATCTCTATCAACTTGCAGAAAAATGCATATAAACCTTGTTTAGGTCATGTAGTGGCCTATGAATCTCTTGGGATCTGAAAAAAAGTTTGATAACATTTGAATTGCATATGGACTTATTAGATGAAAGGATCCATATGCATTAATGTATAAATATTTCCAAACATATCTCCAATTACTGTATACAATAACATTTGAAGAGAAAACAGAAATGTAAAGAGAAAAAAACCAAAACAAAACACTAAATTTGGGCCAGATTAGCTTTCACCGGTTCAAAGAATTTCTATACTTTATAATTCAAGCAAAATAATTTAGTTTGTTTCAAAGAATGACATTCCAATATTCTAAATTTGACCTTGTGTTTGTTTAAGCTAGATAAATCACTAAAAATATAATGTCTTGTAATATATTTATTTATAAAAAGCAGATTGTTATGGGATTCCTTTATTTGAAGCCAAGCAAAATACATAGCCAGCATACAAATGTAAGCATCCCTTCATTCTATGATAAAAGAGTCAAGCACAACTTCAGAGAATTCTTTCTCTTATTCTAGGGAGAAAATTTAATTTCTGCTTTTTGCTACAATACCTTTCGGAAATGAAATTAATTCTTTGAGATTTACCAGTTTCATTCTTTTTCTTGTCGTTAATATAAACAAGTGTACGATTGATCTAATGATCAATAAGGTTACTTGACTACAAATAAAGTATATCCACACAAAAATAACTTTATTAAAGCAAATAACTATCATTTTCAAAAATATTATAGTAAGGAGACCACCTCCATTATGTCTAGCTTATGTATGCATTTCTAAATTGTGCAAAATTGAGTTTATTGTTTTCCAGTGCTGCTGTGTGGATTGCTCTCTATGATCTCACCTTCATTTTTTTCTTCAAAATTTCAACTTTTATTTTAGATACAGGGAGTACATGTGAAGTTTTTGTTACATGAGAATATTGTGTGATGCTGAGGTTTGGGGTATGGATCCTTTCACCCAGGTAGTGAGCATAGTACCTATCTCAACTGCATTCATATTACCGCAAAAACAAACATAATTTCATTTTTTTTTCTGGCTACACAGCATTCCATGGTTATATGTATGACTTTTTTTATCCAGTCTACCATGGATGGGCATCAGGGATGACAGCGTGTCTTTGCTATTGTGAATAGCGTGAAGATGAACATATGAATACATATGTCTTTTTGGTAGAATTACTTACTTTCCTTTCAGTAGAAGAACAGAATAGAAAACTCAAAAATAATGTCAAACACCTACAATCATCTTATCTTTAACTTGGCTGACCAGAGCAAGCAACGGGGAAAAGACTCCCTATTCACTAAATGGTTCTGGGATAATTGGCAAGAAGGTTTATGCAGAAGATTGATGCTGGACCCTTACATTTTACCACATAAAAAAACTAACTCAAAATACACCAAAGACTTAAATGTGAGACCTCAAACTGCAAAAATATTAGAAGACAACCTAGGAAATACTCCTCTTGATGTTGACCTTGGCAAATAATTTTTGGGTAAGTCCCCAAATACAATGGCAACACAAGCAAAAATAGACAAGTGGGACCTAATTAAACTGAAAAGCTTCTGCACAACAGAAGAAACTATCAGCAGAGTAAATAGACAACCACAGAATGGGAGAAGATATTCACAAACTATGCATCTGACAGAAGCCTAATGCCCAGAATCTATAAGGAGCTTAAACAAACAAGTAAAAAGCAAATAACTCCACTAAAAAATGGGCAAAGGACATGAACAGACACTTCTCAAAAGAAGACATACATGCAGCCAACAAACATGGAAAAGTTACATATATATGGCATCACCAATCATCAGAGGAATGTCCATCAAAACCAAAATGATGTACCATCTTACACCAGTCAGAATGGCTATTATTAAAAAGTCAAAAAACAAGAGATGCTAGCTAGGCTGCAGAGAAAAGGGAATGTTTATATGCTGCTGGTGGGAATGTAAATGAATTCGTCCACTTAGAAATCAGTCTGGAGATTTCTCTAACAACTTAAAACAGAGCTACCATTTGACTGAGTCACCTTTATTTCTGATTCTGGTTCTGGAACTTCTAGATCACATTATGTTAGCCTGAGAGTTTGATGTCATCTGTTCACACCAGGCAAACTGTCCTGTCACCTTCTCTGACCTCTGCTCGTATTCTGCTGAGTAGATTTTGATGCTAGGGCTGCTTGCATGACATATGCTTGAGAGTCACACATGCTTTTTTATTCTTTTTATTTTACTTTGTACAATGACAGTCATTTTGGCATTCTTTACTGCTACTGCTTAGTTATCATATCCTGTATTCCTCTATTGAATTTTTCTAACTTCATTTTGATTTACTTTAATGATCTCAGACATATTTTATCTTCCACTTGTTCCAGAATCTCATTCAGCAGAACCATAAGATCTTTTATAATCTGCCATCTCTTCCTCTCTCTGCCTCTTTTTCTCTCTCTGCACATCTGTGTGTGTGTTTATTTTTTAATTTTGAAATAAATTCAGGCTTACAAAAAGAGACAAAAATATTTCAAAAAATTTTTAAAAATCCTTCATCCAGTGTTTTTCAAATTTTATGTTATATAACCAATGATGTATATGTATACACACACACATACACATAAACACACACACACACATACACATAAACACACCCATATATAGATAATCTATAGATATGTATTTCTCTATATGCACAAATATAGAGTATATATTAATAATTACAAATGGATTAAAAAGTGTAATTCAAATTTCTGAAATGATTGGGTTAATTCTTATTCCTACTTTATGTGGGTGCTATGATCTCACAAGAAAGATGAATAACTCGTTTTATATTTCAAAATAAAGATTTTAGCAATAAAAACCTATATAATTTTCTGCAACTGTATTTAAATATTCTAACATCTGTCACAATTTTGTGTCATGAGTGTTTATTTTTTAATTTTGAAATAAATGCAGACTTACAAAAAGGGAACCCAAGTTTTTCAAAATATATAAATATATCCTTCATCTAGTATTTTAAAAATTTCATGTTATATAACCAATGATGAACACTAGGAAAATAAATTAATATGAGTAATAATCTACCAGTATTATTCAAATTAATTTATGTCACAGATTCTAAAGATTAGGGCAAAAAGAAAAATATAATAATTTATGTGTCCAACTAATTTCCTTTTTCTGGTGCAAGATCCAATCTAGGACCAAATATTTAGTTGTCATGTCTCTTTAGTGTCTTCCAACACAATTCCTCATTTTTTTCTTTGCTTTTCATGACTTTAAAACTTTTGAAGAGTATTGGCCAGTTATTTCAAGAGTGTTCTTAATGAGCGTTTTAATGTTTTCTCCTGATTATGGTATGTATTTTTAGTAAAAATATAATGGAAGTAATGGTTTATGTTTTTTTGATACATCATTTCAGTGGGTGGATGATGGCAATATGAGTCATTACTGGTTACGTTAACTTTGTATGCTTGGTCAAAGTGGTGTATGACAGGTTTCTAAATAGTAAGGTTATGTTTTTATCTTCACAATTAATATGTATTGTGGGGAGAAACTTCGAAAGTATGCAAACAAAAATGATTTTATCATATTTGTGCTAATTTTGGAAACATTTCATATCAAGCTTTTGTCTTTTTTAATTAAACAAAGTAGTAACTTATCTCTCTACATTGCACCACCTGTAATAATTGAAGGATAATTTTAGTTTGCTTAAATATGTCATATGTTTAACCCTATATATTTGTATTACTTACTTAGACATACAATAAACTAGAACAATGTGTTTGGAATAAATATAAAAAGAAAATATGTAGCCATGGCTTTAGACAGCTGCAAAGTACATGGCTTTAGGAATAGTCTGAAACCCTGCTTAAATAGACAATAAAGAGAGTCTTGATGAGAATGGAAATTGAAGGCTAGTGCCCATTTGATATAAAAGAAAAAATAATAGCTTACTATATTATTTCTACTGCCCCATTGAACATTAACAAAACTGAATTACCCTATAAAGAGAATAATGACTTGGAAATGTGTATGGAAGAGAAGATGTTCAGTAGTCTTTATTACAGAATTTTTTTTCTAATAATGAATATAAAAATTTAGCAAATGAAAAGGTGCCAAACTTTGCATATACTTTAGCAGTATTAGGAGGAACAGAGTTTTTAAATTGATCTGAAGTCTTAAAATCTGGATTTATGTTTTAAGAAAATGATCACACATTAAAGATGGATGCCAATATAACTGAAACTTAGCAGAGCAGCTGAAAATTACCCAATACATGCATGACCTTAGTGACAATGATATCCTTTTAGAGAGCACCTCTAATTGCAAATTTTAACATTTATTGTAGGCATGAAAAGGCATGCCAGCATACAATTCATTTTAATTGCCATTAATTTGTTCATCCATGTTCCATCTTACTGGAAGCAAATAAGAAAGTTAATATGCCCTTGGCTTTTTTATGATTATTGGAAATATGCTCCATTCTTTTCCCTTTGACTCCAGATTTAAGAAAATTAAATGGGGCAGCTTTCTGAGGTACCCAAGTCTAGAAGAGTAAAGGAAGGTATACCACAAGCAGTGCATAGGTAGCACACAGATTTTAGCAAAGTATTTATGTCTTTGTTTTCTAGCCCTAAAAACAACTCTAGGTATGTCATTTCACATCAATTGCTTGAAGAAATAGCATAAACAAACATGAGGGACAAACATACTTTTGGACAAGTTGTGTTCCGTTGCACAGTTAAATTACTTGGTGACAGAGTGACTGCTTTGCCTACTTATAGCCCTAGAAGGGTCATCCTTGGCTATACTCCAGATTCTGCAGTCTCACAACAAATCAGATCATAATGCTTAGTATTGTGAAGTAAGTTGATTTATTCTGTAAGTAAGTAAATGCCATAAAAAAGGAATTGAAAACGAGGTTGCATATTGACCAGAATTAAGATGGGTTAGAATAAGATCAGCCACATTAATTCAAGAGAAATAAAAGAAAAGGGTTGGAAAATTACCTATTTATTGTAAATGTAATATGAAAATTTAAAAGAAGTTCTTTTATAAGTTGTTTGACTTATATATTTTTGTATTATATTTCAGTGGGTTGAAGAGTGTCCCCCCAAATTTATATCTACCAAGAACCTCAGCATGTGACTTTATTTAGAAATATGTTCTTTGCACATGTAATTAAAGACCTCAAGATGAAATTACCCTAAATTTAGGATGGACCCTAAGTCTATTCTTGTATAAGAAAAAGGAGAATGCACAGGGAGACCATTTGCAGATGGAGGCAGAAAGTTGAGTTATGCTGCCACAAGCCAAAAACGCTGGTATTACCAGAAATTGGGAGAGGCAAAGAAAGATTCTTTTCTAGGGCCTCTAGAGGGAGCATAACCTCATTGAGACCTTGATTTTTTACTTACAGCCTCCAGAAATGTGAGAGAGTAAGTGTATTTTGTTTTAAGCTACCTGGATTTTTGTACTGAGATTGGGACACTGCTGTATCTAATATAAAAAAATGGAAAGTGCCTTGGAATGGGTTAAAAGACACACAAACCTTGGACAAACTTTGGGGCATATGACAAAAAGTGCCTAGATTGCCTTGAAAAGTCATTTGGTAAAAATATAGATGCTAAAGATGTTATTGATGAAGGCTTATTGGCTGTAAAAAGCATGGTAGAGAAAGCTTCTATCATCTTGAAGAATAGATAAATCTTCATGAACAGAATGTTGGTAGAACATTAAAGGTGTTTCTGATGAGTCTCAAAAGGAAATGAGAAACATGATATTGGAAACTGGAGAAAAGGAGATTCTTATTTTAAAATGATAGCAAACTAAGCAGAATTTGGTTATACTGTTGGGTAGAAAACAGACCTTGTAAGCACTGAACTTGAACACACTGAATTTGAGTGCACCCTGATTTCCCCTTGCCTTGTGTGCACATGACCTTTGAACCCCAGCTAGGGGTTAGGCCAAGGAACCCAGCCCCACTTGTCAGGCCTTATCTTCAACAAATTGGAGGATAATTGTCCCAGATGACTGTAGGTCAATTTTCTTGAATTTCTCCAAACTAGAGTGAAGAAAGCCAATTTTTCTAGGGACCTTTAAATTCTGGGACCAGCAAGAAGTCTTGTTGTTCTGTCCAACTTCTGAGAATCTTTCCTGAAGACCCATATTGTGACCCCATGAATGTCTACTTTAAATCTCAAATTTCTTAGTAACCATTTGAAAATTTCCACCTTACTAGCATTAATATCTTGATTCTCCCCTTCCTCTTTCTCCTTTGTTTTGCTCATTTCCTTATGTATCTACTATCGGTGCTTCATCACTTTTTTTTTCCTTTGGAATTAGGTCAGATGTGGCCCTGTGTCAAGATCAGTCTCAATACTGTTAGTAAAATCCTATTTATCCTTTAAAGCCCATTTCCGTGATCATCTCTCACATTCTCTGTGGAGCTTTAACTAACCATATTTACCTCTCACAGGTGTTGCTTTAACTCTGTGTTCTGAAAGAAGCATTGTACATCTATCAGGAGATAATGAGTGCTTAGCGTATTGAAAGGAAATGAGATTTGGTATCCCATGTACAAATAAAAGATCCTGATTCTCTATAATCTTGGGCAGTTTACTTGACCTCTAATGCTCAGCCTGATCAACACTGAAAAAGATATGATTGCCGGCTGGGCGCAGTGGCTCACATCTATAATCCCAGAACTTTGGGAGGCCGAGGCAGGCGGATCACCTGAGGTCAGGAGTTTGAGACCAGCCTGGCCAACATGGTGAAACCCCGTCTCTACTAAAAATACAAAAATTAGCAGGGCGTGGTGGCGTGCGCTTGTAATCCCAGCTAGTCTACTCAGGAGGCTGAGGCAAGAGAATTGCTGGAACTCAGGAGGCAGAGGTTGCACTGAGCCGAGATCACACCACTGCACTCCAGCCTGGGCGACAGAGCAAGACTCCATCTCAAAAGAAAGAAAAGAAAAAAGATATGATTGCCACATAAGGGAATATATATTTATGTATATACATATGCACATATATAATTACTCAGAAGCTGGCATACTGAAGAAGCTTAATATTTTAATTTTACTTGTAATTTTGAAATATCTTATACACTCACCTACTATAAGTATCACAAAGTGAAGTAAAGACTCTCAATTTTCTTGCTTTCTTCAGTTTCAAATATAAAACCCATCAAAACATAATTTTCAAATATAATTAGGTTTAACTTTAGAAACATTCAGTTTAAATAAAGCTATAATTTATATGTAAAATACAGAGTATAGCACATATTTAATCATTTAAAGAAAATTTGCTTTGCACAATCTTCATATGCAAATGTCATATTTGGTTATATATCATATTTGGGGATCTGTGAATTTAAACTGAAAAACTGACCTGCTCATTTCTTAATAGTAACATTTCTGTAGATTAAAAAAGACTGAAAAAGAACTTACATAAAAGCAGGTTACATCTTGATTATCTATAAAGAATAAGATCATTTTAAGTGTAAAGTTTATTGCACTCTATCCTGGGTGACAAGAGTGAAACTCCTCCTAAAAAAGTACACATATATAGATAGATATAAAGCTTATAAATATTTGTTCATATATTAGATTATGAAACAACTTGAAGATTTCAGTAATTTCATTGTAAATTGCAAAATGATCTATGAATGAAAAACCTGTGATAAGTAATAAAAGCCATAGATGTCTATTATTTTAACATATAGCAGACAAAGTCATTGGGGTTTTGTGTTTAGTTTTTCTTTGACCCAAGGTGAATGTTAAGATAGGTAAATCATTCACTAAAATCATTTTTAGAATAATTTTATTTTACTCTCAGTCAGAAAAGGTGATTTTGTTCATGCTAATTTCTGCATAAACTGTCAAGATTTCTGTTTTTTTCCTCCAACATATTGTATATTTAGAAAGCTAAAGAAATAATTTAAGGGATAGCTATCTATATGGAGGATGTGAGTTGAAGTTCACTTGAAATAATTTCATCTGTTTTGGCATAATGATAGTAGAGTAGAAATATATCTACGCATTTAAACTATGAAAAATATGTTCAAACATGAAATTCACAATCTACATATTCAAAATGTATGTATAAAATATATGGCATACTGAATGTCATGAAGAATATACTTCTACAACATCTTAACTTTCTAAATTATTATTTATTGACTAGAAAGAAATTATGTATGTAAAATAGAAGAGAGATTATGGCAGTATTTGTAAAAATCAAATATAGGAGGAAATTCTTTACATATTGTTTTACTTAACTTACATATTATACTTTCTCCAGAAATTGACAAGTCATAAGGATGATATAATCTCAAAATACTTGCATTATATATTCAAGTACTTCTATAGTTAATTATCATTCGGATTTACTAAACTATTTGTTCAAATTTATTTCTTATTTTTTCCTTTTGTGAAGGGAGATTCTTGAGACCAAAAAGTATCTTTGTTTTTGCTTTTTAATATAGCTTAAACACTGTAATTTTATCTTTAGTCTAGAATTTTAGTTGAGTTCTCTTTAGATTTCCAGTTGAACAAGTCTTTACTACCTTGAAAATATATTATTCTATTGACCTCTTTTGTTTATTGTTCGGGATTAGAAATCTGCTACTTATTACATCATAGATAATCTGTATATATTTCTTGTAGTTTATAAATTTCTTCTATTGTCTTGATACCTTTTATCCTGAAATTTATATTTATCTATTCATTTATAGATAAAGTTTTTAAAGTAAAGATAGATGAATTTAAAAATCCAGTGTGAGAGATTGCTGTTTGTTGACCAAAACCTGTAGTAGTTCCCTCAGTAATACTTTGTGAAATGTATTTTCAAGACTTCTTTAAAATTAAGCATAAAAATATGACTAATATATTTGTAATAGTCCATTCTCATGCTACTACTAATAATATATCCAATACTGGGTAATTCATAAAGGAAAGAGGTTTAATGGACTCACAGTTCCACATGACTGGGGAGGCCTCACAGTCATGGTGGAAGGAGAAGAAAGAGCAAAGTCACGTCTTACCTGGCAGCAGGCAAGAGAGCATGTGCAGAGGAACTCCCATTTATAAAACCATCAGATCTCATGAGACTCATTCACTACCATGAGGACAGTATGGGGAAAACCACGGGCATGATTCAAGTATCTCCACCTGGCCCTGCCCTTGATATGTGGGAATTATTACAATTTAAGATGAGATTTGGGTGGGGACAGAGCCAAGCCATATCAATCCAATCACATATGAACAGAATCATAGTTCATGATGTATAAACAGAAAATATATGCACAACTTTCAGACCTTGGCCATGAAAAACTCCAACAATAATTATTTCACTATGTTCCATTCTGTCACCTTAATAGATGAGCATCGTGAACTCCCAAGCCAGACACTGAAGATGGCAAAGCCCCAGGATAAAATGATCCTTGATGTCTGAATCACCACCAGGAAGATAGTGACATACAAAGAAGTAAAACTGTTTTGGACATTATGTGCCAGAGAAATAAACTTCTTTAACCATTAAACACTTTGTAGTCTATTTGTGGCATCGTCTTAACAGTACTAACTACAATCTTTTCTAATGAGTATGTTGTATTTATTTACTGATCAGGAAAGGCATTTTGTCAAATATGCTTAACTCACAAGTTATTTTGTGAGTTTGCAATTGAACTTATGTTACTATAAAATCAAAATGATAAAAAATAAAATTAGTGTTGATCATTAATTACAAACATTATTATAAGTGAATGATATTATTTTTACAGTGTTCTTTTAAAAATCTTATTATGAGGACATTTCTACCTGCTGTGGTAAAGACAGTTTGCATCTATTCTACCTTTACCAATATGCGCTGTGTTATTTCTCTGTTAATTTCATCATTAGGACTAATGTTAAACTGTTTACACAGAGTACATTTTGATAAACATTTCATTTACCTAGAAAAGATACCTCTTTTTATTACATATTTAGAGTAGGTAAAGTACCATTATTGGCAAGGAGACAAACACAAAACGAAAATATAATGTAGCAGCATATGATGAAGAAAACAGTTCTTAAATAATTAGCCTTTTTCTCTATTTGCTAAGGTACAGCTAGAAAATGTTTTTCAAGTCCTGTGTATCTAGGTGGCGATATGTGACGGGAATCCACCTTTAGAATGTCTGCTGAAGTGACATGGATTACTTTGAGGTCAAAGGAGTTAAAAGTAGTATACTTTTTCCTCCTGTTCTCTTTACCAAGGGCTAGATTCCAACAGAGAGAAGTGGTGTCTTAGAATACAGGAAAGCCTTCGCTGGGCTTGGTGGCTCAAGCCTGTAATCCCACCACTTTGGGAGGCCGAGGCAGGCAGATCACAAAGTCAAGAGATGAAGACCATCCTGGCCAACATGGTGAAACCCGTCTCTACTAAAAATACAAAAATTAGCTGGGCGTGGTAACGAGCACCTGCAGTCCCAGCTACTTGGGAGGCTAAGGCAGGAGAATCGCTTGAACCCAGGAGACGGAGGTTGCAGTGAGCTGAGATCACACCACTGCACTCCAGTGTATATATATGAAAGCCTTGAGATTGAAGGATTTGAGGTCCCTGAATTATTACATTGAACAGAAATCTTCTGACTCCCTCCCTTATGGA